>NC_000009.12:35767575-35919090 GCF_000001405.40 Homo sapiens
GATGATGAGTAGGATTTCAGTAGATACAAATAAAGAGGGCAGATTAATTTATATTGATGGATTTGAGGAAAAAGATTACATCAGCAAATACGTTATTCATGGCTTGATTCCTTTATCATCTATCCATAGCAGACATCATTAAATTCATCATGGCATTCTTTCTTGCTGAGCCTGGACATAGCCTGGTAAGACTAGAACTAGATAATAGGAAAAGAAATGTAGACATTAAGTGGACATTTGTTGTTGTTGTTGTTTTGCACTCTGTCACCCAGGCTGGAGTGCAGTGGCACGATCTCAGCTCATTGCAGCCTCCGCCTCCCAGGTTCAAGCGATTCTTGTGCCTCAGCCTGAGTAGCTGGGATTACAGGCGCCCACCATGACACCCAGCTAAGTTTTTGTATTTTTAGTAGAGACAGGGTTTCGCTATGTTGACCAGACTGGTCTCCAACTCCTGATCTCAGGTGATCTGCCCGCCTCAGCCTCCCAAATTGCTGGGGTTATAGGCATGAGCCACTGTGCCTGGCCAGATTTTTTTTTTTTTTCTTTAAGACAAGGTCTGGCTCTGTCGCTCTGATGCAGTGGCTCACTGCATCCTCCCACCTCACCCTCCCAAGTAGCTGGGACCACAAGCATGTGCCACCACTCTTGGCTAATTTTTGTGTTTTTTGTAGAGATGAGGTTTCACCATGATGCCCAGGCTGGTCTTGAACTCCTGAGCTCAAGCGATCCACCCACCTTGGCCTCCCAGAGTGCTGGGATTACAGATGTGAGCCACTGTGCCTGGCCGTGGACAGGTTATTTTGAAAGAGACATCAGTGAGACTTTATGGAGATGTCTGACCCTGGAGGTCAAGATGTGGGGCATTCCCTATGTGCAACAGGGAAGCCCTTGGCACAGAGACTATGAAGGGTTTCTGTTGCATGCATCTGAGGGGTGCAATAGGTATCACAACCACACTCAGAAAAAATAGTGCCAGGGGAAGATGGTGCAATTTATTCTGCCAGAGGGTACCACTCAGGCTATCTCCAGGCTGAGAGAGACCCTGGAGTTATACTAGCACAGAGCTGGACCATGGTTGCCAGCAGAGTAAGCAGCAAACAGGGGCAAAGGAACATTGGCCTGGAGATCTTAAGAAGCTAGAGGAGCACTTCCTCAAGGGTTGCAACTTTTTCCTGCTGCTATGAAGTCCCCTTCCCCTGATATATCCAGATCCATCTCAGGTAGATAAGCAGGAGAGGGGTTGCTATCTGAGAGACTGAGCAGTTTTTATTCAGGAGAGTCTGAGCAGTACCTAAAAAGACATTAAATGATCAGATAGGACTACGTTAAACTGGTTTGGGGGCTTAAGAGGGACAATGTAGGCAACTGTGAAGATGCACAAGACCTTCATGTGAGTAGAGGGTGCCCTCAGCTCACCCACCACTTTCGATAAACTGAGGCAGGACTGAATGTGGAATGAGGCAGGCCTGTTTACTGTGTCCAGGAGGGACTGATTGGGCCCATTTGAGATAAGTTAGGTAGCAAGCGGCCTAGCTGAGCAGGGGGCTAGGTGCACTCAGCTGCAGGGGCACTGCGTGCCCATGTGTACCTGCCTCAGCACCACCAGTGTCACAGCCCTGGCTGCACCCATTGCCAAGGAAGAAAGAACCATGTGGTTGAAACACATCTACTGTACCTGGCCCTGTCAGACTTGGGAGGACAGGTTCTTGTCTTGTTGTCCTTGATGCTGTTTCCATCAGCATCCACCTGTTATCTCTCCTCACCCTGAGGAGCTCAACCCACCCTGATTTTGTCATTCATTTTTTTTCTCATTCGCTCATTCTTTTATTGAGTCTGTTATGCCATGTACTGTGCTAGGCACTGAGGACACAGTATTTTGTAGAGATAAGGGAATAAACACACATGAATACAATGAAGTTTGAGCAATATTAAGCTTCAGAAATATTACTGAGAAAATACAGAGTCTTATTGGAGTACACATATTTGGGAGAACATAGTTTGTAAAGGAAGTAGGAAGGTTTGTGCTGTGATCTAATAATGATTTTGAGGTAATCAGATGAAAAGTCGGAAGAAAGTTTCAGGCAGAAGGAACAACGTGCAAAGATGAGAGAAATTAAAGGAACAAAAGTTCAGTGTGTCTAGAGTGTAGAGGATGAGGAAGAGGGATGTGACGTGAGATGAGGCTGAAGAGAGGCAGGGACCTGACCATGGGGCACCTTGAAATTCAGGATCAGTTGTTTGTATTTCATCCTAAGCACAATGGGAAGCTATTCAAGAGTTTTATGCAGAGGATTGACTTTGCCAGCACTGCATTAAAAAAATTAACTTAAAAATTTTAATGTAGTTCAAATCTGCATGTCTGGTTCATTTCAGCTCCTTCACTGCCAAACCTGGGGGCAGGGACTGCTTCAGTTTCTCCGCCTAAGATTCTTACCAGTACTGCATTTTGAATGTTTTATAGTGTGGGTTGGAGTGGATCAACACTAGATGCTGGGAGACAAGTTAAGGGATTGTTAATTAGTCCAGATGAAGGATGATGGTGGTTTGAACTGCATAGGGTAGAGGTAGTAGGGAAGATAGATTTGGGGCATATTTTGGAGGTATGTCCAGCAAGGCTTAGATGTGGAGAGTAGTGAGGGAGATGGAGAATTCAAGAATAACTGAGGTTTTTGGCTGAGCACCTATGTGGATGATAGTGTCCTTTGCTGAGTAGGAGAACACTGGGTGGGAAGATATTTTGGAGGAAAATCATGTGTCTTGTTTGGATGTTGAGTTCAAAGTTCTTACAAGACCATCAAGTGAAGATATCCTGTGGGCAATTAGGTATATGATTTGAAAGCTGATAGAAATGGACTGGTGATTCATTCTTGGCACATAGAAATTGGTTATTGGAGCAATGGGCATAGGTATTACCATGGAGAGAGAGAGAGAGAGAGAGAGAGAGAGAGAGAGAGAGAGAGAGAGTTGAGTGGAAAACGAAATCTAGAATAGATCCCTGAGGATCATCAATCAACCCAGGGGCAGGTAGAGAAGGAAGGGTCAGTAAGAGACTGAGAAAGAGCTGCCAGCTGGTTGGAAGAAACCTGGACAGTGTGGTGTCATGGAGGGTGTACCACTACAGTCAGCTGTAGGGGAGTGTTAAGAGTGTTTGGCTGCACTCCTGGAGATGCTTAGGTTACTTATAATAATTGAATGAGTGAGTAGGCTACAGAGGATCAGAGGAGCACACCTGGAGCTCCCAGCCTCCGCTAAGCATCTCCCTAATAAATAGAGCAGCCTTCTGCCTGTCAAATCTGAAGAAAACCTGAACTCCAGGAAGTAGCAGGGGTTCAGAGGAAAGAACAGGTACTCACACAGGCGTATTATATCTTCAGGGTAAACCTTTAACCTGGTGAGGTTTGGTAGGATCAGAGTGAATTTCAGTCTCTGGATCTGAAGCATCCCATTAATTTTGTTGCCCTTTTATCATTTCTAGAAGCTGAACTTAATTTTTTTCTCTGTCTTTGCCTCTATCTTTGCCCCTCTGATTCTCTAGCCCAGTTGATTCTCCTTGGCTCTTGATCTTGGTTTAGTTTGGCTAGCACTCCTTTTCTGAGGAGTAACTTCCGTAACAAATATTTATAGTAACCCCTCTGCTTGGCTGGCAAGTCCCGGAACCAGTGTCCTTACACACTGTCCTAAAAAGCAGTCAGCCCGGAGCACAGCCAGCTTTATTGGCCTAGATATGATTAGATGCTTCCTTTACCCCTTCTGGAGGTGTTAGTGGTTCTGAGCCTTGGAAGTTCTGTTCTCCTTAACCATCTCCTTCTCTCCCGTTTTGCTTTTCTGAAACATATTTATTAGCTAGATGTTAAGGTTAGTAGTTCTACCCTTCAGTGAAGATTGATGAAAAATTAGCCCAAAATTGCTGTCTTCTAATTCCAAAAATCTATAATCTCTATGTTCTGTGAATTGGGTCTGAGGCTAGCTCTTAGCTTATTTCAGGACCTAAATTTAACATACCCTGGGTTTAAGTGGTGGGTTGTAATTTCTATGTAGGAGAAGCTTAAGGGGAGAAATCTGATTGGAAGAGAAGGGAGGCAGTTAGGTTTGCCTTAAAGCTGAGTACACAAGAGTAATCTGGCTGTAATCCAGCTGGCTGGGACTGACTGCCAGAAAAATTAAAAAACAAAGATGTGATTGATAAAAATGTGTACTTTGTTCATGTAAGTGAGTTTTAAAAATGTAGACTCTAAGACCTTTTTTCTCTATCTTCCGTTTGCCAATTATTGCATTTACATAGTTTCTTCCTTCCTTCCCCAAACAAGGTATAACACCATAAACCTGAGAATTTTAGACACATGCTTTGCTCACTTTTTTTCTATTTATGTATTATTTTTATTTGGTTTGCTTTTGGGGGAGGGGAGGCAGGAGTTGCCATTTGTGCCAACAACTCTTTCTCAAATATTCCAAGCAATCTTTTCCTTGGGGAGTTGTACTACACAATTCTATTAATTACTGTTGTGCAATATTGAGATACCTTACATATGTAGCAACAGTGACACATATGCCCACACCCAGTGAAACAAGGTCATTTTCTACTGTCAGTTATATGCATCAAGGTGACAGGTGACGGCATGGTTATGGATTAACTCACCAAGGAAATGAGTGTGGAAAGAAGAATGCAGAAATCTGAGGACTAGAGCCTGGAGATGGGGAGCTTCGAGCTCAGAGGAAGAAGAGGATCTTCATCACGGGGAGACATCAGCTGGATATTGAGATGGAAGGATGACTATGAGTATGAGCTATTATAGAAACCATGGTAAGAGTTTTAAGTAGATGACAGTAACATCAAATGTGACTGATGTGTAACTGGAGGAACTTACTGTCATATGCAAACTAACAACTCCACTGTATTCTTCTTCATCCAGATCATTTGTAAAAATTTTATACTAGAGGCCAGGCGCGGTGGCTCACGGCTGTAATCCCAGCACTTTGGGAGGCCGAGGCAGGCGGATCATGAGGTCAGGGGATCGAGACCATCCTGGCTAACACGGTGAAACCCCATCTCCTAAAAATACAAAAAATTAGCCGGGCGTGGTGGCGGGCGCCTGTAGTTCCAGCTACTCAGGAGGCTGAGGCAGGAGAATGGCGTGAACCTGGGAGGCGGAGCTTGCAGTGAGCCGAGATCGGACCACGGCACTCCAGCCTGGGCAACAGAGCGAGACTCTGTCTCAAAAAAAAAAAAAAAAAAAGTTTTATACTAGACTATTCAACAAATATTTTTTGAGCTGCATACTAACTGTGGTGGGGTTGTATAAATGAGCTATAAAGTTGTGTTTTAAAGTAATATGTCTTCATAAACAAATATGCTGGTAATTTATACATAAAACTCTCAAACTTTACTGGTGTATTTGTTAAGTGGAGACTACAGACCTATTTCAGTGACATTTACAAAAAGTCCTTTGGTATTCTTTTATCCTTGTGGTACCTTAAAAAAACCCATATATAGCTTCTTATTGCAAAAGTAATACATAATTATTGAAAAGTACAGCCAGGCATGGTGGCTCACACCTGTTACCCCAGCACTTTGGGAGGCTGAGTCGGGAGGATCACTTGAGCCCAGGAGTTCAAGACCAGCCTGGGCAATATAGTGAGACCTTGTCTCTACGAAAAATAAAAAACAAATAGCCAGGTGTGGTGGTGAATGCCTATAATCCCAGCTACTCAGGAGGCTGAGGCAGGAGGATTGCTTGAGCCCAGGAGGTTGAGCCTGCAGTGAGCTGAGATCGCACTACTCTGTCAGCCTGGATGACAGAGTAAGAACCTGTCTTAAGTAAAAAGAAAGAAAAGAAAAGAAAAGAAATATATATGTATAAATTCTAACACATACTATTCCTAAAGAGACAGTCACTCTTAACATTTTGATTTATACTGTTCCAGGTTTCCTTTTTCTTTTTTTTTTTGAGACGGAGGCTGCTTTGTCACCCAGGCTGGAATGCAGTGGTGCTATCTTGGCTCACTGCAACCTCTGCCTCCTGGATTCAAGCGATTCTCCTGCCACAGCCTCCCAAGTAGCTGTGACTACAGGCGCATGCCACTAGGCCTGGCTAATTTTTGTGTTTTTAGTAGAGATGGGGTTTCATCATGTTGGCCAGGCTGGTCTCGAACTCCTGACCTCAGATAATCCACCCACCTTGGCCTCCCAAAATGCTGGGATTACAGGCGTGAGCCACCGAGCCCAGCCCCAGGTTTCTTTTTAAAAATTATTTATTTATTTAATTTTTAAAATAAATAAAAGAGATGGGGTCTTGCTATGTTGCCCAGGCTGGTCTTGAACTCCTGAGCTCAAGCAATCCTCCTGCCTTGGACTCCCAGTGTTGGGGTTGCAGGTGTGAGCCACCACACCTGGCCCGTATTATTATTTCTGAAGATCTTTTTATATGTGAAAAAACAATCCATTGTTATTTCAGTTTTATAGCCACTTTAAAAAATGTGTATTGGTGCACAAACTTTATTCTCTGATGATAAATTTCATTAAAACAGTCAAAAATTATTATAAGTTGGTTGAATGAAGTGAATGGTTAATCTGGGTTATTCCGGTTTTCGTTGAATGTACATGGGACTCTGAAGGGGTCATACCCCAGTTCTACCACTGCTGGGTCCTCAGGAGACTCAGCCTCAGCACCTTGCTCCCCCATGGCAGCAAACGCCTCCCTCCCTGAGAGACTGACTGTGCTCAGCTCTGGTCAGGGCAGGCTGCACAGGCCTTTTGCTGGATGACCCGGTAGGCAGACTAAGTGTGTGCCTTTAGGGTCCCAGCAAAGCAGTGGTACTAAATAGATTTGGAGGAAAGGATGTTGCTGTGTTTTTAAAAACATGGAAGTACTTGGCCGGGCGCGGTGGCTCACGCCTGTAATCCCAGCACTTTGGGAGGCTGAGGCGGGTGGATCACGAGGTCAGGAGATAGAGACCATCCTGGCTAACACGGTGAAACCCCGTCTCTACTAAAAATACAAAATAGCCGGGCGTGTTGGCGGGCGCCTGTAGTCCCAGCTACTGGGGAGGCTGAGGCAGGAGAGTGGCGTGAACCCGGGAGGCGGAGCTTGCAGTGAGCCGAGATTGTGCCGCTGCATTCCATCCTGGGCGACAGAGCAAGACTCTGTCTCAAAAACAAAACAAAAAAAAACATGGAAATAGTTACTATGGGGAAATTTGAATTTATTGATTTTATTTTTATTTCTTTTTTGGAGGAGGGGAGTACTATAATCTTTTCAGTGTTTTTGGTTTTTATACAGGTCAATTCCCCTCTTTGACTCATCCCAAATTTTGGTGGGGGGGGCTTCAGTCACATCCTTGTCTTTTTCAGCAGCCTCCTCCCCATATTGTCTCGAGGATTGGGAAGCAGGAAATTTATAATACCCTTTTCTCTCTGTTTTCTCCAAATTCATTTTCTCTCCTGTGTTCCTTTGGGAGAAAAGGGAAATCAGTTCTGTCTCTTCACTCCTCTATATTACTCCATCTGGATGGACCCACACTGATAGCAGTGAACCTTGAACTTGGCAGTTTTGGAGCCAGGGTCTTTGCCCTCAGTGCAGTAAATTCATTTTTTTTTGTTTAGCTGCCAGATTTAGGGTCCAAACAGGAAAACAGAACTCACTCTAAGCATTTAAACCAGAGGGCATTTAATCCAGAGAATTAGCTGGCTGTGAATATGGTGGAAGAGCTGAGAAGCCTTTCAAGGGAAGGTGAGGCAATGCAGGGGAAGATTAGCAACCGAACCTTCTATTCTCCCTAGGCTGTGGGAAGGAGGGGAAGTGCAAGGGGCAGGGTAACTTAGAAGCCGGAACTTTGGGGGCCTGTTCTAGGGAAGCTGGGGCCAAAGAGTGCCTGTCCAGATGCTGGCCAAGGCTGGGAGAGAAGGGGAAGAGATAGTCTGGCTTCTCTCGTTCAGTTTTCTGCCAGTGCCTCCCTGACTGAGCTCAGCAGGAAGCCATCTGTGGAGGGAATGGGAAGGAGCGCCACCATTTACTACACACGCTTCCACATAAGCTTGCGTTTGTCTCTTCCTAGTTAGTACACTTCTTAAGGATATTGAACTAAGTTGAACAGTTTCTCTTTTTTGGTCATATACTACTGATCAGCTCTTCTTATTAGACTTTTCAATGAAGAGATGAAAAATTTGAAAACCTTTACACAGTGTAAAAACAAGCAAACTCTTTTAAAAAAATTTTTGCTTTACTCTTCCAGAATATGGTCCCAAACTGCTGATGGTGGGATGTAGTTCAATTTTGGATATGACGGACCCCTAATAATTACCATAATAATGGACATTTATATAATGCTTTACAATATACAAGGTGCTTTTACATTTATTGTTACTGCAAATAGGTCTTAATCTGGGGATTTTGGAGCCTGTTTATTTGACCTCTAACAGGTTAGCTTAAGGCCTAGATTTGAAAGAAAAAAACAGTAATGCTCTTTTCTTGTTTTCCTCTGAATCACAGATGATAGGCAAACTTCTTTGACCTTTTTGTTAGACAGTTTAGCTACCCTCAGTAGTGGGAGGTGTTCTTAGCTGTCACTGGTGGGAGAGGCTGGCATCAAATTACTCCTCTGTTTTTCTCTCTTGGTGACCCAGCAGGTGTTTAGGACAATGACGACTACTCATGTGGAACCTTTGCAGTCATATAGATCATGCCTGTTGTTTTTGGCCTATTCTCCTTCTCCTTCTTCTTCTTTTTTTTTTTTAGATGGAGTCTTGCTGTGTCATCCAGGCTGGGGCGCAGTGGTATGATCTCGGTTCACTGCAACCTTCACCTCCTGGGTTCAATCAATTCTCCTGCCCTCAGCCTCCCGAGTAGCTGGAATTACGGGCGTCTGCACCATGCCTGGCTAATTTTTGTATTTTCAGTAGAGACAGGGTTTCATTATGTTGGCTAGGCTGGTCTTGAACTCCTAACCTCAGGTGATCTACCTCCCTCGGCCTCCCAAATTGTTGGGATTACAGGCATGAGCAACCGCATCTGGCCCCCTATTCTCATCTAAATAAATATTTTATTTCTTTATTTTCAAAGTGTCATCCTTGGCCCTCAAGGAAGAGTCTAAGTCAGCCCTACAGTTCATCTTGTCTAGTGTTTGATCAAGATTTGCTTTGTGGGCCAGGCGCGGTGGTTCACGCCTGTAATCCCAGCACTTTGGGAGGCCAAGGTGAGCAGATCATGAGGTCAGGAGATCGAGACCATCCTGGCTAACACGGTGAAACCTCGTCTCCACTAAAAATACAAAAAATTAGCCGGACGTGGTGGCGGGCGACTGTAGTCCCAGCTACTCAGGAGGCTGAGGCAGGAGAATCGCTTGAACCTGGGAGGTGGAGCGTCCAGTGAGCCGAGCTGGCACTACTGCACTCCAGCCTGGGTGACAGAGTGAGACTCTGTCTCAAAAAAAAAAAAAAAATTTGCTTTGTGGAAAATCAAAATAATTGAATTTATTCTTGGGCCAGATATACCCCAACCAATCTTAGCTTTGTTTTTATGACATTATACATGAAGTTATCTAAATCAGGTGTTTTTCTTTTTTTTTTTTTTTTTTTTGAGACAGAGTCTTGCTCTGTCACCCAGGCTGGAGTGCGGTGGCATGATCTTGGCTCACTGCAAGCTCCGCCTCCCAGGTTCACACCTTTCTCCTGCCTCAGCCTCCCCAGTAGCTGGGACTACAGGTGCCCACCACCATGCCTGGCTAATTTTTTGTATTTTTAGTAGAGATGGGGTTTCACTATGTTAGCCAGGATGGTCTCGATCTCCTGACCTCGTGATCCACCCTCCTCAGCCTCCCAAAGTGCTGGGATTACAGGCGTGAGCCACTGTGCCAGGCCTAAATCATGTTTTGTGGTTTTTTTTTTTTTTGTACTTGTTTCTTTCATTTATTTATTTTTATATATATAGAGAGAGAGATAGGGTCTTGCTATGTTGACCAGGCTGGTTTCAAACTTTGGCCTCAAATGATCCTTCCATCTTGGCCTCCCAAAGTGCTAGGATTACAGGTGTGAGCCAACGCGCCCAGCCTGGTACTTGTTTCTTGTAAGATGTTCTAGTTCTAACTCTTCTTCTTCAGACCTACTGATCTTGGATTATACTTTTTGTAATACTTTATCTTTTGGTTCCAAATGACTGGTTTTCAGAAAAGCCTTCTTAGCTCTGATGTTACCGTTCTGCCCTTTGATGTTTTTAATCTCCTTGCTACAGCTATGAGGGATTCACCATGTGTGTTTATCTATTAAAAGAAATCCCATCTTTCCCTTTGAGGTCCCATTGCCATCCTTTAAAACATTCAAGATATCAAGCACCCCATATCAATGACATATTTTTATGCTTTCTTGTTTATGATTAAGATTCATTTTTAATTAAAAATTTTGAATAGGTCATACTTGCACACCTGTTACAAAATTAAAGCTATACAAAATGGGCCAGGCGCGGTGGCTCATGCCTGTAATCCCAGCGCTTTGGGAAGCCGAGGTGGGCAGATCACCTGAGGTCGGGAGTTTGAGACCAGCCTGATCAACATGGAGAAACCCCGTCTCTACTAAAAATACAAAAAAATTGGCCGGGCGTGGTGGCGCATGCCTGTAATCCCAGCTACTCGGGAGGCTGAGGCAGGAGAATCACTTGAACCCGGGAGACAGAGGTTGCAGTGAGCCAAGATCATGCCATTGTTCTACAGCCTGGGCAACAAGAGCGAAATTCTGTGTCAAAAAAAGGTATACAAAATGATAGATAATGAAAAAACTGTCTCTTTCATCTTGCCCTTTAGATACCTTGTTCCCCTTCAGGGAGGTATTCGCTGTTAACAGTTTCCAGTCCAAAAGCTACGTTTTAAAGCATAATTAAATTTCTGGCCCCTTCTCTAAAGTCCCTCAATTATTAATCATATTAACTCTGTAGAAGGATGTATCACAACATTATACTGAAAAATAAGCTGAATATACAAAAGTGTTCAAGCAGTCAGAATACTTTGGAATATAATATGACATGTCAAACTGGTGTCTGACATGGATGGCTTCTGGGTGGATGCAAGTCCCTAAATGTCCAGCCTTCCTTTTGTGCATTGGCTTTGCCTGCCTACATACCCACTCCCTCCTCTCGAATGCACAAATAATGCACATTCGCCTTCCTGTTTGCTTTCTCTTAAGCCCAAGGCTTGTTAATCTGGGATCCTTTAGCTCCTAGATCCACGTGCACCTGAAATGATATGTAAAATGTTGTGGAATAATATGTATATGTGCTTTTTATATTTTAATGGGGAAAAGAGAGTATACATGGCTTTCATCTGATGTTCTATCTCCAGTCTATCTCTGTCTTCTTTATTCTGCCTGAACTTTCAAACTCCTGGTTCCTTCTGTCACTCAAAAGATGACTTTGCTTCCCCATTGAGGAATGCAGTTGAGCTCCTTATTTCATATAACCTTCCCTTCATTTCAATATATTATAGAGGATGTTGAGTAAGGTTTTTTTCTATTGCCCTGGAATTGGTGACTAGGGTCCAAAGCTGGGACAAAGAGGACTAAATACTGCACGTTCTAGAGAGAGTTGCTAATAATTGGATCAGAGCTCCTCTCCAGGGCTTACAAAGAGGTAGCAGAAGTGGCCCTGCAACTTCCAGCCAACCCATACCTTACCACCCCACCTCCATTCCCAGGCTATATAAGATAAAAGATGACTGAAGGGAGGCTGTCATGAGCCTAGCAGGGAGTACTTTTCCCTCCTTTCCCCCCTTAAAGTAAGCAAGGGAGTATGAAAGAGATCTACATGAAAGAGAGATTGATTTCTCATTCCTTGGTTAAACTATCTGTTTAGACAGTGGATTTGTTCAGCTCCGCACCTGTCTGAGAAGAGGAAAGGCAATTAGAGAAAGGAGGAAGGGCAGAGTAAGGGGATAGTAGTGGAATAGTCTGCATTCATTCTGTTTGGCTTAGCAAGGGTATGTGAGTTTCTGTGATCAAAGGGACACTGAGGAAGATCGCCGGGCTTGAGCCATCATGCTGGTAACCCATCCAAAAGGCTGCCACTGAACAGAAGTTAGGAGGGTTAAAGAGATGGCTTGGATCAGGATTCTCTGCATTAGGGCACAACTCAGTGGAGAAGCCCAGTAGGACCTTCTAAAGAACTCACATAACTGTCTCATAAGAGAGCCAGCATCTTTTTTTTTAAGATGGGGTCTGTTGCCTAGGCTGGGGTATAGTGTTGTGATCATGGCTTATTGCAGCCTGAATCTCTTGGGCACAAGTGATCCTCCTGCCTCAGCCTTCTGAGTATCTGGGACTGCAGGTTATGTGCCACCACACTCGGCTAATTAAAAAAAAATTTTCTTAGAGACAGGGTCTCTCTACGTTGCCCAGGCTGGTCTCAAACTCCTGGGCTCAAGTGATCCTCCTGCCTCAGCCTTCCAATGCCTTGGGCTTACAGGCATGAGCCACCATGTGCAAGAAAGATAGCATTTTGACATCTGCCAAACAACAGGTTGGCATGGTCTGTCAGCAAACAGTGGTTTGTGATAACTACCTTGTTAAATAAAAAGAGAGTTGTTCTTTTCCTCCCTGCCCTCCTCCTAGTTCTCAACCACCAAGGAGCTAAAACCCTTCTAGAGAACCTTCCAGAGAACTAGAAGAGGAGAAGCAGAATCAATAGAAGGGATCATATTCTTCTCTCCACCGCAGGTTCCTTAAGCCATGGCTTAAGATGAGTTCTGCATTGGACCTGAGACTGGAGTTTTAAGCCATATCGGACTGAGTCTTTAAATAACCAAAAGGGAGCAGAGTGTTATGGACTCTGACCATGATGTTGTGAAGAGGTACAAAGGAGACATTTGTCATGGCACAGATGAAGACTGATGGGTGGCAGGTTATGTTTATACCTGACCAAGCTCAATGCTCAACAGATAAGTTAAATTTATCCGTCACGAAATCTATCCCTGAATCCATTGTTCCACCTTTCCCTGCAGTCTCAGAGGAATTTCTTTTTCTTTTAAAGTGAATCCCTGGCTGGGCACGGTGGCTCACACCTGTGATCCCAGCACTTTGGGAGGATGAGGAGGGTGGATCACTTGAGCTCAGCAGTTTGAGATCAGCCTGGGCAACATGGTGAAACTCCATCTCTACCAAAAATACAAAACAAACAAACAAACAAACAAAAAACAACCAGGCGTGGTGGTGTGCATCTGTGGTCCCAGCTATTTGGGAGGCTGAAGTGGGAGGATTGATTGAGTCTCGGGGGATGGAGGTTGCAGTGAGCCAAGATGGCGCCACTGCACTCCAGCCTGGGTAACAGAGTGAGACTCTGTCTCAAAATATGACCAAATAAATAAAAATAAAGTGAATCCCTTCATCCATACTCATATATCCATTGAGAAAACATTTATTTGAATTCTAAAATATACTGCCAATGTAAGGTACAAAGATTAAGGACGATAAAATTCCTTCTCATGGAATACACAATCTAATGGGGCAGAAAGTACCTACTTTAAAACAAATGTATTAAATTAAATTGAAAAGTGGCCTGAGTAAGCCTCAAAAAAGACTAATTAGAACTCAAGGGAAGAGAAAACATTTCAGGCTGACAGAAAACCCATGGGCATAGAATAACATGACCCACTTAGAGGACTATAGATAGCTCTATATGTTTAGAAGGCATATGTGGCTGCAGAGGAGGCTGGAGAGGAAGATGGAGCCAGGACCACCTGGTGGACTGAGATTCTTGTTCTCCATCCTGCAGGCTAGTGGCTCTGAACAGCAGTAGTACTTTTCCTGGAGGGGCATTTTGGTCCGTGGTGGGTGCGCAGGAGATAGTGGGGGTGGGGGGAGGGGGTGGGGGGGCAGGCAGGAGGGGGTGGAGGGGAAGGGGCATTTTCTTGGTTGCTATAGTGATGAGAGTGGGTGCTACTGGCATTGTAGTAGTTGGAGGCCGCAGATGTTAGACTCTGCAATGTGAGGACAGTTCCACATAATTAAGAATGTATTCCATGAGAGAAGGAATTTCACCTTGTTTTGGTTGTTAATCCTTGTACCTTGACACTGGCAATACCTTTTAGGTGTCAAATAAATGTCCTGAATTCGGCATGATTTAGATATCCTGAGTTCTGCACAGTCTTCAAATATTCCACCAAACAGTTGTGTAGGGTGTTATATATAAATATATATATAAATACATCTGTTCTGTTATTGCTTATCCTAACACTGGTGTTTAATCCAGTATCTTTCTTTATGGAGTGGCTTCAGATCTCTTAAATCAAAATTTATTCATTCCCTGTAATTAGATGGAAGCATCTAATTACAATTAGCTGAGTGCCTCCTTTGGTGTTCTATCACAGTTATATCCAACCATTTACATATTGAAATACCTGTTTTTAAAATAAGTTATTGTCTTTTATTTCTCTCGTTTTTTTTTTTTTTTTTTTTTGAGATAGAGTCTCACTCTGTTGCCCAGGCTGGAGTGCAGTGGTGTGATCTCGGCTCACTGCAACCTCCCCCTCCCGGGTTCCAGGGATTCTTGTGCCTCAGCCTCCAGAGTAGCTGAGATTACAGGCGCCTGCCACTATGCCCGGCTATTATTTCTCTTCTATATTACAGGTAGGAAATTTTATTGATGTTTTGAAATTATGTGTAGAGATAGGTTGTATTATCTATGCATTTTATTTTAAGTTAGTAAAGGTGCCGTTAGAAAATAATTATTAGAAGGAAGATTTAGGTTTGGTAGCATCAAGAGTCATTGTTTAGTCACTGATTTTCAAAGTGTTATTTTGAGCTGCAGAGCTCAAATATTTTTGTTCATGAGCTCCTTAAAATAAAACACTCACACAATTTTAAATTGAAATCTAACTTTATTATTACAAGGTTTTTTGTTTTTGTTTTTGTTTTTTGAGACGGAGTCTCGCTCTGTTGCCCAGGCTGGAGTGCAGTGGCACGACCTCGGCTCACTGCAATCTCCGCCTCCTGGAATCAAATGATTCTCCTGCTCAGTCTCCCAAGTAGCTGGGATCACAGGCGCGTGCCATCGCGCCTGGCTAATTTTTGCATTTTTAGTAGAGACGGGGTTTCTCCATGTTGGTCAGGCTGGTCTCAAACTCCTGACCTCAGGTGATCCACCCTCCTTGGCCTCCCAAAGTGCTGGAATTACAGGTGTGAGCCACCACGCCAGGCCAGATAAAACAGACTTTTAACTATTTTATTGAATAAAGTACACCAACTATGAAATAAGTTACTTAATTTTTTTTTTTTTTTGAGACTGAGTTTTGCTCTTGTTGCCCAGGCTGGAGTGCAATGGTGTGATCTCGGCTCACTGCAACCTCCCCCTCCCCGGTTCAAGCGATTCTCGTGTCTCAGCCTCCCAAGTAGCTGGGATTACAGGCATGTGCCACCATTCCTGGCTAATTTTTGTATTATTAGTAGAGACGAGATTTCTCCATGTTGGTCGGGCTGGTCTCTAACTCCCAACCTCAGGTAATCCACCCACCTCGGCCTCCCAAAGTGCTGGGATTACAGGCGTGAGCCACTGCGCCTGGCCCTTAATTTTTTTATTCATTTATTCATTTATTCAACGTAGCTGAAGTATTTTTCTGCTTGTAAAACTTTTCAGTTTAATTTTCTCTTTTTATTTTATTTTTAATTGACAATAATTATACATACTTATGAAATACAATGTGATGGATACATGTATAGTGTGTAATTATCAAATTAAGACAATTAGTATCTCAAAAATTTATCATTTCTTTGTGGTAAGAACATTCAAAATCCTCTCTTCTAGCTATTTTGAAAAATACAATAATATTGTTAACCAAAGTCACCCTACTGTGCAAGGGAACACTGGAACTTACTCCTCCTGTCTATCTGTAACTTTGTTGGCCCACCTCACCCCATCTACCCCTCCTGCCTATGCTTCCCAACCTCTGGTAACAATTATTCTACTCTGTACTTCTAAGAGATCAGTTTTTGTTTTTTTTTTTAGATTCCACATATGAGTGAGATCCTGTGGTATAATGTCCTCCAGGCTCATCTATGCTGCTGCAAATGACAGGAATTCATTCTTTTTTATGGCTGAATAGTATTCCACTGTGTAAATATACCACATTATCTTTATCATTCATCTGTTGATGGACACTTGGGTTGATTCCATATCTTGGCTACTGTGAATAGAGCTGCAATAAACATGGAAGTGCAGACATTTCTTCAACATACTGATTTCATTTCCTTTGCATAAATACCCACTAGTGGGATTACTGGATAATATGGTAGTTCTATTTTTAATTTTTTGAGAAACCTCTATACTGTTTTTCATTATGGCGATACTAATTTATGTTCCCACTAGTATAAAAGTTCTCCTTTCTCCGCATCCTCATGAGCGTTTGTTAATTTTTGTCTTTTTGATAATAGCCATTCCAACTGGGATGAGATGATATCTCATTGAGGTTTTGATTTGCATTTCCCTGATGATTAGTGATATTGAGCATTTTTTCATATACCTGTTGGCCATTTGTATGTCTTCTTTTGAGAAATGTCTATTTTGCCCATTTAAAAATCATATTATTTGGGATTTTTTTTTGCTATTGAATTGTTGAGTTCCTTATATAGTCTAGGTATTAACCCCTTAGATGCATAGTTTGCAAATATTGTCTTCCATTCTGTAACTTGCCTCTTCATTTTGTTGACTGTCTCCTTTGCTGTGAAGAAGCTTTTTAATTTGATGCAATCCTGTTTGTCTATTTTTGCTTTGGTTGCCTGTGCCCAGTCCAATGTCATGAAGGGTTTTTCCTGAATTTTTTTCTAATGCTTTCATGGTTTTCAGTCCTTACATTTAAGTCTTTAATCCATTTTGAGTTGACTTTCGTAAGTGATGAGAGATAGGGGTGTTTATTTATTTATTTAGAGACAGAGTTTTGCTCTTGTCGCCCAGGCTGGAGTGCAATGGCACTATTTCGGCTCACTGCAACCTCCGCCTCTTGGGTTCAAGTGATTCTCCTCCTCCCTCAGCCTCTCAAGTAGCTGGGATTACAGGCGCCTGACACCACACCTGGGTAATTTTTGTATTTTTAGTAGAGATGGGGTTTCACCATATTGGCCAGGCTGGTCTCTTGGCCAAGCTGGTCTTGAACTCCTGATCTCGTGATCCACCCGCCTCGGCCTCCCAAAGTGCTGGGATTACAGGTGTGAGCCACCGTGCCCTGCCCTATCTCTATATATTTTTAAAATAGAAGACAGGGTCTCACTATGTTGCCCAGGCTGAATTTGAACTCCCAGTCTCATCAGATCCTCCTGCCTTAGTCTTCCGAGTAGCTGAAACTACAGGCACACACCACCCCTCTCAGCTGAAAACACCCCATTTCTAATGCCAAGCTTTACTCTTCACAGAATATGGATATGGTGGGGAAAGACAGGAAGCCCCATTCCTTTAAGACACTTTGATTCACCTTCACAAGTTTCCCCAGACCAATACTTGATTTATATATCCTTTTTCTTGGTGCTCCAAAGGTTTTTACACCCTAAAATAATTCATCATAATAAAATTTGGCTTGGGGTAGGGACATGCCTTTCTGTTGTAAACTGGGAGGGTTGTTGTCAGCACAACTGTTGTGAGCACAGGTCATTCTCAGGCAGAACAGTTTTGGGACTGAGTACATAAGGAAGTTCAGGGTCTGGAGATGGATTCCCTTAAAGCCATCTGGACAAACATAGTCCTTGGAAAGCCTTTTTGTGCTACTACTGTTTGAAGGCTGCTGCGCAGAGGTTCCCTGAAGGTGCCTCAGGGGTTCTGTTTGAGAATGAGGTGAAGGCGAGGGGTTTCTGGGCCCACCCCCACTGTTTCATCTGGAGCAGCTGGGCTTTTTTTTTTTTTTTTTTCTGTTTTACATGTACATTTTCATTTGAAGGAATGGTTTTGCTGCTAAAAATAACAGTGTGAAAAACATAGCCTCCAAGGGGGACCATTTAAAGATTTTAAGCAGTGATGTGACATAATTAGGTTTTTGTTTCAAAAGGTCGCTTTGACACCTGAACACATCGTGGAGGCTGGACTGGAGGGAAGTGAGACTGGAGAGACCCAGAGAGAAGGCAGAGCAAGAACTGGCTACTCTGGGCTCCATCCCAGGGTCAGCATCCACTTTAGATGGCGCCGGGGTTCACGGCTTGCCAGTCTCCACCTAGCTGCTTCTCCCATTCATATTTCCTGCCTGGCCCATGACCACCTTTGCCTTTGCAACCCCTGCCTTTGACTGTTTTTCGTCTTGTATATCCAGTCGGCCACCAAATTCTGTTGTTTCTTCCCTCAGATTACCTCAGATTTGTTCCTCTCTCCATTACTATCCCATCATCCTAGATTAGACACTTCAGGCTTGGGTTTCTCCAGGAACCTCTTCACGGTTCTTCTTGCTTTCAGTCTGTCTGCCCACCAATCTTACATCGCCACTGCTTAGCTTCTCTTGGTTCTTCATGACATATTGCAGTACAGTTTTGTACATTTTTGTTTCAGATTTCTCCTCTTCTTCCCAGTCTTTGGCTTCTGTAGAAAATTCTAAGCAGAGCAGAAGATTAAAATAGTGACTAGTGCATTTCCAGTCTCTAGAAGCAGTGATAACCATGTTTCCTTTGCCTCTTTTTATGCCAGATATTTGTAGAGTTAGCAGGACTTAAAAGGCAAGGGGACACCTTTCCCTCTTGCCACTTGCCTCTTGCCACTTTTTCCTCAGTGAAAGATTTTGTGAAGAAGTGGAATTTCAAGTTGAGTGGGTAAGATTATTTCAGGGAATATTATATTTGAGACTTCATGCTATCGGATGCTCCCAAAGGGTGGTAAATAACTACTGGGGTTGGTAATAATGATGAAGGGTGGTAATAGGAAAATAGGGAAACTATCTATGTACCTAGGAAGATTCTTGGGCCAAGTGTGAGAGGGCAGAGAAGAACTGGGGCCTTCCTGGGCACTCACAGAGGTGCTGGTCCAGGCCCAGATGGAGCAGACAGGTGAAATATGGTTCACGTGGAGCTTGAATCATCAAGGAAATAAATGTATGTGGTTGCTTCTCCTGACAATTCTTAAATTTCTCTCTTAGGAATCTTTGGCCATCTATGAAACAATTTCCATGGGAAAATGACTTGTTTGGACTGTATTTTCACAAAGCTGATATTTCTGGCCCTTAGAATATGATACCTGTTTGTCTAAAAAACATATATCTATTCAGGTAAGTTGGAAACTGAGATCTGATTTGAAAACATTTTGGGCTGGGCGTGGTGGCTCACGCCTGTAATCCCAGCACTTTGGGAGGCCGAGGTGGGCAGATCACGAGGTCAGGAGATCAAGACCATCCTGGCAAACATGGTGAAACCCCGTCTCTACTAAAAATACAAAAAAAAAAATTAGCCGGGCGTGGTGGCGGGCGCCTGTAGTTCCAGCTACTCGGGAGGCTGAGGCAAGAGAATGGTATTAACCCGGGAGGCGGAGCTTGCAGTGAGCCGAGAATGAGCCACTGCACTGTAGCCTGGGCGACAGTGTAAGACTCTGTCAAAAAAAAAAATTTTTTTTTTTAAATAATAAATTAAAAAAAATAAAAAAGAAAATATTTTGAACTTACAAAGATGTATATGAATTCAAAGTAAAAACCCTTGACCCTTTAAACAATCACAGCAGCGCCCACCGCTGCCCCCTTTTTTTTTGAGATGGAGACTCACTCTTTCCCCCAGGCTGGAGTGCAGAGGTGCAGTCTCGGCTCACTGCAACCTCCACCTCCCAGATTCAAGCGATTCTCCTACCTCAGCCTCCTGAGTAGCTGGGATTACAGGTGCCTGCCACCACGCCCAGGTAATTTTTGTATTTTTAGTAGAGATGGGGTTTTGCCATGTTGGCCAGGCTGATCTTGAACTCCTTACCTCAGGAGATCTGCCTGCCTTGGCCTCCCAAAGTGCTGGGATTACAGGCATGAGTCACCATGCCTGGCCCACAGCAGCCCTTTGAGGCTGTTGAATATCTGTGAGAAGATGAACTGGATCTTAGATCTACAACCATACTGTGCACTGCTGCGTGGCTGGGAGGGAAGTAGGAGTTGGAGGGGAACTGGAGGTTTGACCTAATTTCAGGATTCTGTCTCTCCCTTATGGGGCTAAAATAAAGAATGCAGAATTTGAGTAAAGTCTCTATTTGCTTTCTATATACTTTGCTACATTTCTTTTTCTACATTACTTTCTCCTTTTCTATTGAGATGTGTTGTGAAGTGTATCTTTCCTGCCTTATTTGATCTACCTTTCTATGGCTGTTCTCTGCCCTCTGTTGGCAGGTTCTCTTGGACCTGTCCGTCTGTGTGCAGGGGACAATTGCATGGAGTCAAAGCCCATTTCTGCTAGTCAGGTCAGCAGAGAAGATATTTTGTTTTCTGGAATTCTGTAGGCCTGGGAGGCATGATCTGGTGTAGAACAAACCTGAGGATCCAGATTCAGCTGCACAAATAGGTTTGTTATAAAACGTTTAATGCTGTCAGTTTGGGGCATCAGAGCCTATCACGAAAATTAGCATGAGCCCGAATCCCATGGTGGTTGCAGAGCTCAACTAGGGTCTTGAGGCACCTTTGGCCTGAGTGTAACCAGGATTAGGATTTCTTTTGAAGAAGGGACAGGGCAGCTTGGAAACCATAGGAGATTCTAGCAGCTGGCCAATTTGATGCTCTGCAGTTTAGTTCTGGATCAGAAATAAGGTGTTTGGGGCCGGGCGTGGTGGCTTACGCCTGTAATCCCAGCACTTTGGGAATCTGAGGCGAGTGGATCACTTGAGGTCAGGAGTTCGAGACCAGCTGGCCAACATGGTGAAACGCTGTCTCTACTAAAAACAAAAATTAGCTGGGCATGGTGGCGGGCGCCTGTAATCCCAGCTACTTGGAAGGCTGAGGCAGGAGAATCACTTGAACCTGGGAGATGGAGGTTGCAGTGAGCCGAGATTGCGCCACTACATTCCAGCCTGAGTAACAGAGTGAGACTCTGTCTCAAAAAAAGAAAAAAAAAAAAAGAAAAAGAAAGAGGGTGTTGATTGACCCTATCCAGAAGAAATTATAGCTGGTATCTGTTTGTGGATTAGAAGAAGGCCATGACAGTGCTACAAAGAGAAAGTTGGACCCTAGCTGGTTGCTGCTTAGGCCAGTAGAATCTAGATTTCCTAGGTTTTCTATGTATTGCAGCATGGTCACCAAATACAGCCAAAATATTATTGCCCATATCAATGACAGCAGTGATAGCTTGGATAGTGGGATATATACATAACCGAAGTTCTCATTTATTTAATATTTTCAGCTTTCCCTCAAACATGAAAAAATAAACACCAAAAGCCTTTCACTGTGTGTTAATAAAAAACCTCATTAGGGGATTTATCTTTTATCTCCCCACTCCTTCCCACTTCCCTTTTGTCTTTTAAATTTTATTTTTAGTTTTTACTTATGTTTTCTTTTCCTTTCTTTCTTTCTTTTTTCTTTTGAGATGGAGTCTTGCTCTGTCGCACAGTGGCGCGATCTCTGCTCACTGCAATGTCCGCCTCCCAGATTCAAGCGGTTTTCCTGCCCCAGCCTCCCAAGTAGCTGGGATTACAGGTGCCCACCACCACGCCCAGCTAATTTTTGTGTTTTTAGTAGAGACGAGATTTCACCTTGTTGGCCAGCCTAGTCTCGAACTCCTGACCTCAAACAATCCTCCTACCTTGGCCTCCTAAAGTGCTGGGATTACAGGCGTGAGCCACTGCACCAGGCTCCTTCCACTTCCTTTTTTTTTTTTTTTTTTTTTGAGACAGGGTCTTGCTGTCACCCAGGCTGCCTCTATCCTCTGGGATCAAGCGATCCCCCCACCTCAGCCTCCCAAGTAGCTGGGACCACAGGTTCGTGCCACCATATCTGATTGATTTGTTTGGTTTTTAATAGAGATTATAGGCATTACAGGCAAGAGCCACCGTGCCTGGCCCCTTCCTACTTTCTAGTTAACTGGCCAACTGGGAGGAAAAGGGAAAGGCAAGATGCTTGAATGTTTAATCCCTAACATAATGAAGAATAGTCCTTAATGTTCAGAATAATGACATATGATGCACTTGTACTTGCGTAGGAGTCTGGGTGACAGTGGTGGCTGATCCTCACTGAGGGCTGCAGGTGTTCCAGAGAGACTTGCCTGGGTTTGGTGGCTATTATATTGTAAGCACAGCTTTCTACAGTAAGTTCCATGAGTCAGCAAAATATCTATAAAGAGCCTCTCCTTGGAGACCATGAAACCTGCATTTTAATCTCTCTTTTGCAACTAAAAAGCCATGTGGGATTGGGGGAGAGGAGCAAGTAAGGACACTGCGACCTTCCTCTCTGGGATTTGGTTTTCAATTATCTTTAAATGAGAGGGCTAAACAATATATTTATATGATCCTCTTAGCCCTGCCATTCTGTAATTCTTTCAGGAATTTTGTCATTTTGGATTTGCTTGTCTCATAAAACAATGTGTAGTTGCTTAAAAATCAACTATTCTATTTGGTTGACTTGGTCTAAAGTATTTCTCATGTTGTCTCGTCATTCTTTTGACTGTTCCTTTTTTTTTTTTTTGCCTTGGCCAGATAGGACAAAATTCCTTTTCACTGCAGTATTGGGAGCCTGGAACTAGAGTTACCAACCCCTCTGCGTTAAAGAAGGAGCTGTCCTGAGGCTTCCATCTCTACTGGGCTTGAGGCAAGAACATTGTTAGGGACGGCCTGCTCTTGGCCTCTGTGCCCCAGGGATTGCAAATGCATGTTCCTCAAAGGTAAGGGCTGTATCATTCGGCTTTCTTTGTATTCACAGGTACAGCTTGTGCTAGGCAGCCGGTGTTCAATAAATATCGTGCCTAAGGATAAAGTGGCATTGTCCTTAATTTCCCCCACCAAACCACTAGGTGTCGCCTTCATCTCAGGGAAACCATGCCCGTCCTCGCCCTATACACTCCCACCCCACTCCAGGGCTCCAGGAGCGCTCTTAGCTTGTGATTTCTGGAGAAATAGCTTGAAGGGGGGAGAGAAACCGTGGCTCTTAGCGCGGGCAGAGAATGGGCTTATGTGCATGTCCTTTATGACAGTTGGAGAAAAATCCCCAAGGTCCCATAGCAGTCCCTCTCAGCCACCATGAGATCATCCCTCACAAGCTGTTCTTGGGGTCAGATTGGCACTCCAGATATGAGGGCCCTAGGGAGAGCTTCCTAAGGGAAGCTGGGAGCAAGGTGGAACCCCAGGAGAGCGTGGATGGGCTTCCACTGCGGGGAGTGTCCCGCCGGTCCGTTACAGGCTTTCCCCAGGCGCCAGCCTGCGCTGTGCAGGAGACAAAAGAAAATCGAGGCCCTGACTGAGCAGATGGTGCGGAGGAAGCCGGGCGGGCTGCGGTGGGCCTCTGAGGACACGAGGAGGGCAGGGGGCATGGAGACAGCGGGGGGCCGAGAGTTGAGTCCCAAGCAAGAAGGAGCCTCGTGGACTTTCTAAGGACTGGTGGGAAGTGTACAGCAGGGGCCCCTGGCTGCTGGAGGGGCCCGTCCAGGGAGCGGGCATGGTCCGCGGTGGAGTAAGCCGCACTGCCGTCGGGAGGGCGCTATGGTTTGCTAGGTGAGGGGGCTGGTGAGGATACCACACGTCTGGGGATCCTCGACTGCTTCCTGGAGACTGGAACCACTGAGGGACTCAGGGAGTTCAGAGGGGAGACCCAAGAAGAACGGGCTGAGCGAGGGGGAGAGGACAAACCCTGGGGTCGCTGGCGTGTGTGAGATGGAAATGGAAGGAGGGGCGGCAGGGGGACCAGGGGCGTGGGGGAGACCAGGGTAGGCCCTGAGAGTGAGGGAGCGCCCGGGAACCCTGCTGGCCGGCGAGGCCTTGGTGCGGAGCCCCCAAGTGCTCACCGGGGTGGGTTTGGGACCTGGCGGTCCCGAGCGCCCGGGTGGGGGGTGGGGGAAGGCAGCCGGCGCCGGAGGGTGGGGCCGGGAGGGAGGAGGAGAGGCAGCGGGGGAGGGGCGGGGGCGGGCGGCCTGCCCGGGGGAGTCGCACTCGGCCGCCGGCGCAGCGAGCGGAGACGGGCCGGGCCGAGGCGACCTGACCCGGACGAGCGGCGCGCGCGGGGCCCAGGCGGGGGGCGGGAGGAAGCGCCGGGCAGCGCCGGCCGCCAGGGCCCAGGAGAAGCGGAGCAGAGAGGAGCGGGGACACGGGCGGGGCCGCCGTAGCTCCGGATGGGACCAGCGCCCGGGCCCGTTAGTCCAAGCAGGAGCTCCGGGAGAATCCTTCACAGGGAGATTTACCCCTGCCTTCCCCTGCCCTCCGGCCCAGGCCTCGCTTCGCTCCCCGCCTGCCCATGATCCCAGTCCTTCCGCGGCGCGGGCACCCTCCCACCTTACCCCCTTGGTCCTATGTGGCGCAGCGCCCTCCTGCCCTCCCGGCCCTTTCAGCTGTGAGGTTCCCCCAGGCCGTTTCTTTGTACCACCCGCCCCCCACCCCCACCCCATCCCAGTCCCAGATCCCCTTTTCCTTCTCAGCTTTAGATTTATCAGGCTTCTTCACCTCGCACTGTCCCCATCCTGGCCGCAGGCCCCCTCGGTCCCTCCCTCCCCCTGCCACCCCGTTCTCAGTCCTCAGTCCTTGCCCTAGGCTGGTAGCCCACTCCTTGCCCGCCCCCCGCCTTCCTCCCATCTCCCCCTCCTCTCCCCGGCCCCCAGCACCTTCTGCATCCCAGCCTACCTAGCCTACTCCTCCTCTTCCTGGCCCTCTTCCCCAGGCTCCAGGCTGGGGGGTGCTCGCGTCTCCCCTGTAGGCCAGAGCAGCCCCAAGTTCTGGGGGCGGTGGGGCTGCTGCTTTATCCCCATGGCGCTGCCATCACTTCTGCTGTTGGTGGCAGCCCTGGCAGGTGGGGTGCGTCCTCCCGGGGCGCGGAACCTGACGCTGGCGGTGGTGCTGCCAGAACACAACCTGAGCTATGCCTGGGCCTGGCCACGGGTGGGACCCGCTGTGGCACTAGCTGTGGAGGCTCTGGGCCGGGCACTGCCCGTGGACCTGCGGTTTGTCAGCTCCGAACTGGAAGGCGCCTGCTCTGAGTACCTGGCACCGCTGAGCGCTGTGGAC
Organism: Homo sapiens; assembly: GCF_000001405.40. Taxonomy (NCBI): domain Eukaryota; kingdom Metazoa; phylum Chordata; class Mammalia; order Primates; family Hominidae; genus Homo; species Homo sapiens. The sequence continues at coordinate 35,792,667 of NC_000009.12, forward strand.
CTCAAGCTGTACCATGACCCCGACCTGCTGTTAGGTCCCGGTTGCGTGTACCCTGCTGCCTCTGTGGCCCGCTTTGCCTCCCACTGGCGCCTTCCCCTGCTGACTGCGGGTGCTGTGGCCTCTGGTTTTTCGGCTAAGAATGACCATTATCGTACCCTGGTTCGCACTGGCCCCTCTGCTCCCAAGCTGGGTGAGTTTGTGGTGACACTACACGGGCACTTCAATTGGACTGCCCGTGCTGCCTTGCTGTACCTGGATGCTCGCACAGATGACCGGCCTCACTACTTCACCATCGAGGGCGTCTTTGAGGCCCTGCAGGGCAGCAACCTCAGTGTGCAGCACCAGGTGTATGCCCGAGAGCCAGGGGGCCCCGAGCAGGCCACCCACTTCATCCGGGCCAACGGGCGCAGTGAGTGTGGCCTGGGCTATTTTAGGGTCATGGGAGGAGGGTCGCTGTGTCCCTAAAGCTCAGCACTGGGGAACTGTAGATGGAGATAGGCATTGAGCAGCTGTATGTGGTGGTTGGGATCAAGAAGCACACGTGGACAGAGCACCTGTGAGAGGGCCAAGGCTTCATCATGGGAGCTTGTGAACACCCTAGGCAGATGCAAACAAGGAAGAAGAGAGCATGAGGGGTGAAGCCTTGTATCAAGGTGGAATGTGAAAATGAGGGGATATTAAGTTTCGGGAGCAATGTTTGTGCCCTAGAGTAGTGAATGTGATTGATAGCCACTCTGAAATGTGCCCTGTCTGTGATCAGAGCTACCACCCAGACTGGGCGCCAAGACCCCTTGGTGGTGTAAAAATAATGAGGGCTCCATGAACGGACTCAGGGCTCAGCAGATTTGGGAAAGACAGATAAAGCTCATACTGAGAAATCTGTGCTGTCTGTGCCTTTGAGCCCAGGGAAGGGCAGGGAAGAGTCAGGGAGCAGGCCGGTTGGGTGGGGAGCAGCAAGGGAGGCTCTGGGAAAGGGAGGGGCTTGAGAGTGACAGCTCCCTTCCTCTGGGGTCTGGACAGGCTCTGACTTCTGCCAGATGGTCCATATGGCCCCAGGGTACTTATGGTGGACTCCAAGAGGGGTGGGCTGGGGAGCATCTGCTTTGGGGTTGATAGGTTAGGGCACTCTCTTTCTTGCTGAAGAGGGACATCCCAGTGATTCAGAGAGGGGGCTGTGTGGGGGACCTGGATACCTTCTCAGGGTGCTCCTCTGTCATGTACCTGCTCCCAGTTGTGTATATCTGCGGCCCTCTGGAGATGCTGCATGAGATCCTGCTTCAGGCCCAGAGGGAGAATCTGACCAATGGGGATTATGTCTTCTTTTACCTGGATGTCTTTGGGGAGAGTCTCCGTGCAGGCCCCACACGTGCTACAGGCCGGCCCTGGCAGGACAATCGCACCCGGGAACAGGCCCAGGCCCTCAGAGAGGCCTTTCAGGTATCATTTGAGCCAAATCTGAAGGAGGAGGGGGAAGAGGTGCTTCGCTGGAAATTCTCTCTCACAAGACCCTAAAGAAACCCTAGGAACCAGGCAGGAATTGTGAGCCACAGGAGTAAAATGAACAGAGGCATTCTGAGTCTAGTGTCACCCTTTCTTACTTCTCTACTTTTGTGACTCTTAGTGTGCTTGCTGCCAAGACTGACTTTGGCTGCCTCCAAAATCCTAAAACACTGACTTTCCTAAGTGCCAGTAGTAGGCTATATTGTGGGGGAGAAAAGTTCAGGAAGAGATCTGATCCTAGCCCTTGGGTGGGCTTCCACCCTTTATGGAGAGGTGAGGCATCGTTCTGGTACAGTCAGACAAAGTTTGAGAAAGGATATGATTATGTGTCCTGGAACAGACACTAAGAACTTTAGTGGCTCAGAGGAGGAAGAGTCAGTGTGGGCTGTGTTTAGGGAAGGCTTTTACACAGGAAGTGAGACCGTATTGTGACTTTAATGATAGATGTCATATTCATAGTCAGAGTGGGAGAGGAGATCCAAGCATCCTGAGCAAAGAGAAAAAGATAGGAATGGGCGTGTTTGAGAGACCAAGAAGATACTGACCCGACAAGAATGAGGGGTTCACTTAAAGGAGATACAGGAAATAAAGTTGCAAAGGTAGAATCAGATTAAGGAGAGCTCTAAGTCTTAAGGCACTAGGACTTGAATTTGGGGTCCTTGACTTTTTGTGTGTGTGTGTGTGTGTGTGGAGATAATTATACAGTAGTGACAGAATTCAGGATTAGAAGAGGGGGAGACCTGGGGCAGTGAGACCAACTGTAACAGATTAGAAGGGGGTGAGGTGATATAGCTTGAACTAGTGTGATGATAGCAGGAATGGAAAGAAACGCATTTCAGATTTCAGAAAATTTGTGGGGAATGTTGGCATGACTCTGTTCATTTCACTCCTGCTCAAAACTTTCAGTGACTTGTGTTCTAGAGAATAAAATCCTGACTCCTTATTGTGACATTTAAGACCTTCTGCAGTCTGTTCTCAAACCACTTTTTCAGTCTTACCTCCTGGTACCCTCATGCTGAGAACTGCAGCCTACCAGGCCTCTGAGTTCCCCCAACCCCAGGGCCTTCCTGCCCCTGTGCCTTTATGTTCTTTTTCCTTTTGTCTGGAATGCTCTTCCTTCCCTCATCCCAAATATCTGCCTCTCAAAATCATACCCATGAATCTTCCCGATTCCCCCGCCACTTTTTTACTAACCGTGCATATAAGTGTTTCCCGTGTATTTATCCATATCCCTCCTTTTTTCCAAGAAGGATTGGAGGTGGCTTATGGGATAACCTTAAAGTCCTTTAAACTCTGGGATTATTTGGTTCGAAGTAGCTGTGTATAAGGGCTGGACCTGGGTGGCCATTCTTCTCCAATAAGGTTTTATGTGGCTGTGATTATATATTTGGTTGCGACTGACGAGTGTGTGTCTGACTGAGAATGACATAGCTGTTTGCATGCCTGAGAATGAGTCTGTGACTGTCACACTTGAATATGGGCAGTGGCAGGGCAGGTTTTGTTTATGCCATAATGTTTTCCTAAAACAATCTTCTCACCTTTGTCTGGGTAATGCTTCCATATTCTTTAAGACTCATACCAGTTATTTTCCTTTCTAGGAAATGATCCCAGAATCCCTAAGTGGGACTGAATTTCCTACTCTTTTGCTTAACTCCATCTACCATAGAACTAACCATATTATTCAGTCTGTGTTTGATTTATTTGAAGGCTGACTCATTTCATTAGTATTTACTGAGCACCTATCATGTCCAGTCACTGTGCTAGGTACTGGTATACAAGGGAGAGCATAACAGACTTTGTTCCTGCCTTTTTGGAGTTTACATTTGGTAGGATGGGCAGGCAATAAATAAGTAAGCAAATAAATACAAATGTAGGAACATATTGTGATGTGTTACTAAAACATAAAGAGGAAAGGAATAGAGTGTTATGAAAAGAGAAGAACAAGGGGATTGTACTTCAGCTGGTGTGGACTGCAGAAGATCTGTGACCCTCTCAGATGGGAGCACTCCATAACCTTCCTGGTTATATCCTTTTTCTTTTTGAGACAGCTCTGTTGCCCAAGTTGGAGAGCAGTGGTGTGATCACAGCTGCTCACTGCAGTCTTGACCTCCCAGGCTGAAGCAATCCTCCCACTTCAGCCTCCCGAGTTGCTGGGACTACAGGCATATGACACCATGCCCAGATAATTTTTTATTTTTTATAGAGATGGGGTCTTATCATGTTGCCCAGGCTGGTCTCGAACTCCTGGGCTCAAATGATCTTCTTGCCTTGGCCTCTCAAAGTGCTGGGATTACAGGCATGAGCCACTGCGCCTTGCTGGCTGTATTCTATTTGTGGAAGAAAAGCCTCACTTTCTTCTGTGAGCATTATTGCCCAGCCAAGAGTCCCCAGCATTAAGGGTAGCTAGAGGAGGGATCTAGTCATCCAATAATCAGTTATATCAATTAACTCTCAGTTCTCCCCCTCACTGTGGGCATTATTCAGACAGAGAAATAAAGAGGGAATCTTTGCTGCAACACAAGAGAAGGGAACTAGGCACCAGGAATATGCTGATGGGAAGGTCAAGGCTTTGGGTAGGTGGGGCTGAGGGGTGATAAGGTGCCCCGCCCCCCACCTTCCAATGGGGAAGCAGGGGAGAGTCTGAGGGAAGTTGGGCAGTTAGCTACAGCCAAGCAAGGATGAAAGAGCACAGAGCCTTTCTCCCAGAGACACTGGCCCTCTGAGGTCCCAGACCAGGCCAGCCTGGAAAAGGTGGCAATAGAGGAAAGGAGGCCTTGACACAGATGCCCACAGCTTTTCCAGGAGGGTATCATGCTCAAGGAAAGGCCTTAGCTCATGCCGTATCGATACTGGCTACTAGGGAGAGAGCTCTGAAATCAAGTATGTTGATATGATTTTTCTCTCCCATTTAGCCACTAGCTGCTCCAGGGCAGGGATCATGCTCATCTTCATATTCCATATGTCTAGCATGTAGTAGGTGTTTAACACATATTTGCTGAATTGAATTAGGGGTGTGTTGGGGAGAGGGGGATAGGATGAGGAATTCACCTAGACAGGAGTAGAGCTGGCAAGTAATGTAAACTAGGTGATCAACCAGGATAGGGAAGAAAAGATTGAGTGGAACTAAATAAGCAATGACCAGGCTCTGAGGATCCAGAAGCCCAGGCTGGTCAATGGAGGACTACAGGGTTAGAAACCCAGGCAGAGGTCACAACCTACATGACCAGCATGAGATTGGGTTACACACAGGGAGCACCAGCGGCAAGAATGGAAGAAAGCACTAAACCAAGGGCTTGGAGATCACTTGTCTCATTAGGCCACTGTTGACCACTCTCCAGTTGGCCAGGGCAAGTCTCAGTGGGCGGGTCCACAGATAGAGGCAGGTGCCTCCTGAGGGTGCACATTTCCTAGGTGTGCTCCTGGCACCCACCCACCACTGCACCCATTTGTGGCGGACTTTGCTTGTTTTTTCCACCTGGGGTCCACTGTGAAATGGGACACAATTATCCTCCTTCACTTTCTCTCAAACCCCTGAGCAAGCACAGAAACTGTTTGAGGTTGGGTTTTTTTTTTTGGTTTGGTTTTTCATTTTTGTTTTTTGGTACTACAACTACAACTAGTAACCACAGCAAAAACAGTTCTAGCATAGCAGTTTAGGGGGACCATGGGGTCAAAACTATTTAAAAATAATACAAAGATCTTATCTGCTTTGTCACGCTTGTTCTTTTGTGATTGTGTAGGGAAGTTTTCCAGAGGTTACATGGCATGATGATGTCATCACTTGGACAGCTATGGAAGGTGTGCTTGTGTGTTCTTGCGTTTTCAAAATTTATCAGTTTTAATTTCTAAGATGGTCAATATTGATAGATATAGTCCACATAAACAAACTTTATTTGGGGTCCTTAATAATTTTTAAGAGTATAAAGCGATTGTGAGACCAAAAGTTTGATAACTGCTAGCCTAACAAACTAGCCAAACTTAGTGTTGAGAATTAGTGTTTAAAATGTGTTAAAAACCTATCATCAGCCTTTATTGAAATATAAATTGTGTTGAACCTGATCTTTTCTCGCCCTTTTCCTGACTTTTTACATTGCTTGTCAACAATATTCTACCTCTTTATTTTATTCTTGGAACAGGTGCTACTGAATGAACTATTTCAACCCTTTCCTCAATTCCCTTCTCTTTTTAAAAAAATTTTACCTGAGACTGGGAGAATGTTAGAAGTGTGTAATCAGGCAGCTAAATGCTCTAGTAAGAATAATGATATCTTGAGGCAAGCTGCAGTCTAATATAATATAATGAATGCATATTAGAAATCGACTTTATTATTTCCTATCTCTAATGAATTGATACATAATAGGCCATATGTGATGTGTCTAGTGCAGCGTATCTCTATGGTCCACATGTACTTTCTATGACAAGAATAAACAAAACTGGGAGAAATGACCGGATTTTAAATTATCATTTCACAAAGTCATGTTTCATAAAATATATTGAACTGAAGTCTTTCCTTGAAGTTGTGATGCCAGTTTCCTGTTGGAGCAGAAGTTGGTCTCAGTGACTATGTGGCCTGAGGCAGGGCCTGAGACTGGGAGGTCCAGCAGCTCAGGAAGGGGAAATGTGTGAGACTAATGGGAGCCAAGCAGGCACTTTGGTGAGAGACAGAGATGCTGACTCATGCGCCAGTGAGATGTGTGCATGTCTGAGATCACATGTGTCATTTGCTTACCTGTGAAATGTGTGTGGGCATGTGACTGTGTGTTTGTCCCTGTGACACATCTATTACTCAGTAAGCAGGACAGTGCTGTTTGTGGTAGGTGTTCCACACATTAAATGGATGAGCACACAGCTTTTCACAGGTGGAATCACTGTCTCAAAGTATTTCCCTCAGTTGTCATAGGGCCTGAAATCTCTCTAATTCACTGGGCGGAGACACTGTGTTCAAGTGGCCGAAATGACAATGTTAGTATTTTACTGATGACATTAACAGTGATTAACATCTCAGAGAGGAGCTGTTAGTGGGTGTTGTCCTTGATCATAAGCAGATACCCAGAAAGCATGGGACAGAGGAGCCGTGTGAGCTGTGGTGGCCTGGCAGGAACCTGGATGCTGGAAGGGAGCTCTGGAAGATGTTGGGCTGGGCTTTGGGGATGGGGTTGACTATTATTTGCCAGTTTCCACCTTCCCAGAACCAGTCCTATCTACCTTTCAGGAGGAGTGCCACTCCCTCTTCCCAGATGTATGCAACACAACACACACACACACACACACACACACACGCACACACACACGCAGAGAGAGAGAGGTTAGTAGCCCTTTCAAAGCCTTCAGACTCACCTGTGTATATTTTATATCATGTATATTTTACCAAGTTTCCCTGTCCTGCATCTTCTCTTCCCATAATGCCTATCTTGAATCCTGTTCACTCTTCCCCATATGCTGCTGGTACAGACTGTATTGGTGATCACGTACCGAGAACCCCCAAATCCTGAGTATCAGGAATTCCAGAATCGTCTGCTGATAAGAGCCCGGGAAGACTTTGGTGTGGAGCTGGGCCCTTCCCTGGTAAGTAGATCTCTCCCTTCCTGAGAGTCAGGTCAAGCTTTGGGGAAGGGCTTCTCTCCCAAACTCAGCATCAAGTCTTGGCTGTGGAGCAAGCCCAACTTTGGGGGGTCTCCGCTTCTGTCCAGGATTTTTCCTTCTGCCCTATGGAGTAGTTAGGAAGGGATGGCACTTTAGGAATAAGAGGGAAGAAAGCAAACCAGAAGAGAGAATAGGTAGAAGGGAGACCCCAGAGAGAGGGGAAGGGGCCTTGCAGGACATTTGGAGAGTACTGCTGAAGTTGCCACCCCCAGATGAACCTCATCGCTGGCTGCTTCTATGATGGGATCCTGCTATATGCTGAAGTCCTGAATGAGACAATACAGGAAGGAGGCACCCGGGAGGATGGACTTCGAATTGTGGAAAAGATGCAGGGACGAAGATATCACGGTAATGAAGAGGGGTCAATGGGGGTCTGAGGGCTGATGTCAGGAATAGAGTGGGCTGAAGAAGAAACAGATGTCAGGATCACCACAGCTTTAGTGGGGGTTAGTGAATATGGCAGAGTTGCCCACACCTCAAGATCGGGGAAGGGTAGACTCTGAGGGAGCCGTAGGCATGAGTGAGTGGGAGAGGAGCCCAGGGTAGACCTCAAAGAAAGGACACTCTTTTCTGTCTTAGGTGTAACTGGGCTGGTTGTCATGGACAAGAACAATGACCGAGAGACTGACTTTGTCCTCTGGGCCATGGGAGACCTGGATTCTGGGGACTTTCAGGTGATGGAGGAGGAGGCAGGGAAGAGAGTGTGGCCCTGCAAAATCCAGCTTTCAAGGGTTCAGTCGGGGCAGAACCAAAACTACTAGATGAGGGATTTGTTTTCTCTGCTGGCACTGCATCCTGGCTGGGTGGTAGGCTGGGGAGAAAAGCAGCGAAACAGCTGGGGTCTGGGGAGGAGGCTGGTGGGAGCAGGCCTGTGGGCCCAGCTTTTTGCTTCCTTACAGCCTGCAGCCCACTACTCGGGAGCTGAGAAGCAGATTTGGTGGACGGGACGGCCTATTCCCTGGGTGAAGGGGGCTCCTCCCTCGGACAATCCCCCCTGTGCCTTTGACTTGGACGACCCATCCTGTGATAAAAGTGGGTGTGTGCAGGGACTGGGAGCAGCTTTCCTCCCTTTGCTTTCCATTCATGGCCTCCACCCTCACTGACCCTCCACTCTTAACTGTGCTTCTGCCTTTACGTCTGCATCCCTCCCTCCTCATTTCTTCCTACTCCCAAGGAGTCTGTCTATGCACCTATGCACCCCGTTCTCCATTCTGCCAAGTCCGCACACAGTCTTCCTCAGGGTCTCTATTTCCCCTTCAGCTCCACTTTCAACCCTGGCAATTGTGGCTCTGGGCACAGGAATCACCTTCATCATGTTTGGTGTTTCCAGCTTCCTAATTTTCCGGTGAGTTCTGGGTTTCTTGCTGACCTACTCCCTGCCCCCATTGCCACACAACCTCTGGCTGAAGCCAGGTGGTCCCTATAATGTGGGATAGGGTAGTAGGTTTCTTAATTTGCTGGTTGTCTCTTAGATCCAACAGCGTCTTCCTCTCTAGCCTTTCTCTTTAGTTGTCGCTTAGCCTAGGTGTTTGTTCCACTTTTGGTCCTAGACTGGATATACTAACTAGTGTTTTTCAGTGGGGTTAAGATCAAAGGTGAATTTTCCATTGGTCTTCTTTTAGGAAAGAACTTTCACCCCCAGTCTCTGTGTTTGTTAGTGAGCATAGGGCATGTGCCAGATATGCCGAGAATGCAGCCTTATCTTCCAGCCCTGTCTCTCAGGTGTAACAGTTGCAGCTTCAGGAGCTGCAGGGAAGCCCCTGCAACCCTGCTGTTGGCTTGGGGGTGGCAGGATTCGGCTTGCCAGTCAACTGAGGTGTGCAGTCCTTACAGAAAGCTGATGCTGGAGAAGGAGCTGGCTAGCATGTTGTGGCGTATTCGCTGGGAAGAACTGCAGTTTGGCAACTCAGAGCGTTATCACAAAGGTGCAGGCAGTCGCCTCACACTGTCGCTGGTGAGCCCTTGTCTCAGCTGTTCCTCTGCCTCCCTCTGAGTTCCTGTCCCTTCTTACCCTGGATCTCTCCCAGCACATTGGCTTGTAATGATAGCCCCTGCACTACCACCATCATCTAATGTTCCTTTCATCCTTCCGCCTCCATGTTGCCCTTGGCCCCAGCGGGGATCCAGTTACGGCTCGCTCATGACAGCCCATGGGAAATACCAGATCTTTGCCAACACCGGTCACTTCAAGGTGAACAGTCATTTGCTTGTTCTGGTCCCCACCATTTCATCCTGTCTCATCCCCATCTGCCACCTCTGCCCCTGAACCTCTGTCCCTCATACCCGACTCTCTGTGCCCAGCTGAGCTCCTGGGTGCTTCCACTGCTCTCTAGCATTTCCTTGTACCCAGAACTTCTGATATTCACTTTCCTTTCCCCTTTCACTCCCACCATCAGGGAAATGTTGTCGCCATCAAACATGTGAATAAGAAGCGCATTGAGCTGACCCGGCAGGTTCTGTTTGAACTCAAACATGTATGTAACAGAGGATGGACTCTAACATGTATGTAATGGAGGAGTGGGGAAAACTATGAAATAGTAAAATTGGCTAGATGGGCAAGGGGTTGATTTATAAATGATTTTAAAATCGTAGATACAACTAAGAGAAAGGTCCTCTTATGTAGTGGTAAGTTTCTGTATCTAATTTTTAACTCTTTCAATTTTCTTATCCTTCCCATTGTTTTTTTCTGCCAGATGAGAGATGTTCAGTTCAACCATCTCACTCGCTTCATTGGCGCCTGCATAGACCCTCCCAACATTTGCATTGTCACTGAATACTGTCCTCGTGGGAGTTTACAGGTGAGGGATAGGTGTAGGAGATTATGGCAGGGGTGGGAAGGATAGACCCAAAGTTATACTGACTCTATGCTGGGTGATAGCTGGTGGGACCAGGACAGACAGTCTATTCCATGTCACTTACCAGGATATTCTAGAAAATGACAGCATCAACTTGGACTGGATGTTTCGTTATTCACTCATTAATGACCTTGTTAAGGTGAGTCTTCCCCACTCCTTAAAAGTTCATCCACTTTAAATCACTTCCACTGTTCTTTGATTGTGGTTTTTCTCCTTCTAGTCCTCTGAAGTCCTGTTCTCTCATCTCCCCTTATTCCCATGGTCTGGTAATAATGGGTAAACAAGGAGTCTGGGGCTTATAACTGGGACAGTGAGTTTTACCTGCCACAAGGAGTCCTGTGCCTGTAGAGAGTTTCTATCTTTCTGTCTTAAATATCTCAGGTCTCTTTCCATCATCTCTTTTACCTCTAAGAACTCATAAAATGAGTGGAGTCTCTGAACATATTTTTTTTTTTTTGAGACGGAGTCTCGCTCTGTCGCCCAGGCTGGAGTGCAGTGGCGGGATCTCGGCTCACTGCAAGCTCCGCCTCCCGGGTTCACGCCATTCTCCTGCCTCAGCCTCCCAAGTAGCTGGGACTACAGGCGCCCGCCACTACGCCCGGCTAATTTTTTTGTATTTTTAGTAGAGACGGGGTTTCACCGTTTTAGCCGGGATGGTCTCGATCTCTTGACCTCGTGATCCGCCCGCCTCGGCCTCCCAAAGTGCTGGGATTACAGGCGTGAGCCACCGCGCCCGGCCTGAACATATTTATCTCTTGTTTTTCCTCTCATTATTTTACTCTCCGAACATATTTATCTCCTGTTTTTCCTCTCATTATTTTACTCTCTGACCAATATTTGGCATGTCTGCCCTTTTGTTCAGAAAACTGAAATTTAAAAAAGGAACATTTACTAGTAGAACTAAGAGAAACCAAGGAAGATTGTACTAAAAACCTTTGGTACTCTTCTGTTATACTAGGTTTTAGCTATGTTCAAATGACTCAGAGGCCCATGGATTTGTGGAGCATAAAATAGAATCTTGCATGAGTTGGACAGGTTTTCTGAAATAAGTCTCATAGCCAATGAGCATCCCAGTGGATCACCCCACACTGTATCTGAAACTAGCTTTGGTTTTCTGCTGAATTCTCATGAAGTTATTTAAAAAGTATTTTTTTGTGTGTGAAAATTTGCTATCAAATGAGAGATAAAAATATTAGTAAAGCCAATGTCATGCTCAACTAGAGGTGTGATGATAAACATAAGACACGACTCTTGAGAGAACAGTGATTTGGTGGAAAAGTGATTTACAACAAAGCCAGAAGCCTAATCCTGTGATTGTTGAAGGCATCCTTTGCACAGTTTCCACACAAGTAAATTCACAACTTCAGAGATTCCCAAAAGTTTTGTTGATACCAAAATAAATAAAAAGGAAGAATTCATAGAGATTAGAGTTATGAATTAAGTCCAGAGCTAAACATTTAGACAGAAATGTTTTTTGTTAGCATATTGAACCTTGTATCCTCTTTCTGTCTCACCTGAACTGACTTGGGTGGCTCCTAGGGTTTCATTTTTGGGGAGCATCATTAAGACTTTTTTTTTTTTTTTTCTGAGACAGGGTCTTATTCTGTCACCCAGGCTAGAGTGTAGTGGCTAGGTCACTGCTCACTGCAGCTTCGACCTCCTGGGCTCAAGTGATTCTCCCATCTTAGCCTCCTGAGTAGCTGGGACCACAGCGTGTGCTGCAGTGCCCGGCTCATTTTTATATTTTTGGTAGAGGTGGGGTTTCGCCATGTTGCTGAGGCTGGTCTTGAACTGCTGGGCTCAAGCAATCTGCCAGCCTTGGCCTCCCAAAGTGCTGGGATTACAGGCATGAGCCACTGAGCCCGGCCTTTAAGACTGTCTTTCAGCTCCTCGGAGGCAAAGGTTTTTCCCTCTCTGGACCCACAGAGCCAGCAGTTTTAGGCTTCTGCACTGGCTTAGCAGATTTTGTCCATTTTCCAGGTTTATGATGTTCTGCACTTTCTCTCTGATCCAGCATTCCCTCTAGTAGATCTTGTTCCTCCTCTACCCCGACTTGCCCACCTCCCTCTAGTAGATCTTATTCCTCCTCTACCCCGACCTGCCCACCTCCCTCTAGTAGATCTTGTTCTTCCTCTACCCCGACCTGCCCACCTCCCTCTAGTAGATCTTGTTCCTCCTCTACCCCGACCTGCCCACCTCCCTCTAGTAGATCTTGTTCCTCCTCTACCCCGACCTGCCCACCTCCCTCTAGTAGATCTTGTTCCTCCTCTACCCCGACCTGCCCACCTCCCTCTAGTAGATCTTGTTCCTCCTCTACCCCGACCTGCCCACCTCCCTCTAGTAGATCTTGTTCCTCCTCTACCCCGACTTGCCCACCTACGCCTGGTTATGCATTAAAGTTTACAACTGGTCTTCCTTGGTATATCCAGCTACTCTTGATACCTGGGTCTCAAGTCATGTCTTCCTAATTAGTAGCCAGGTATCTGAGGCCACCATGGGTGTTATATCATTTTGGTCTTCACCCAAGTTCTGTTCTCTTCACTAATCAAGAAGATTGACTGCCCTCTCCAGGGTAGTCATTTGTAGCTCCACTTATCCCTCTTTTTAAGCATTTTCCCTGTCCCTGGTGGCTGGGTGCCTGTGTCCTGCTTATGATACCAGGAACAGATGACTCTTCTGTTCTTCCTGCTTCCTTGGGTGGAAACTGCAAAGGATGCCTTCCAAAATCAGCTTATTATTTTTGTGGACCCAAGATCTGTAGACAGCTAGCCAGTGCCCATCTCATGGAGAGAGGGTATTCTAAGCCAGATATGATCCAATCCCATGACTTGATCTGTACCCTGCAGGGCATGGCCTTTCTCCACAACAGCATTATTTCATCGCATGGGAGTCTCAAGTCCTCCAACTGTGTGGTGGATAGTCGTTTTGTGCTCAAAATCACAGACTATGGCCTGGCCAGCTTCCGATCAACTGCTGAACCTGATGACAGCCATGCCCTCTATGCCAGTGAGGCCCACCCCCACAACCCACTTTTTATATTGCTCCTCTTTCCACCTAGGGATGGTGGGAGAGGGAGGTGGAGTGACAGTAATATAGGGATGAGCCCAGGTGGGCTTGGGGGTGCCCCATTTCGGGGGACCTGGCCAGCCGGTTTCCTCTTTTCAGAGAAGCTGTGGACTGCCCCAGAACTGCTCAGTGGGAACCCCTTGCCAACCACAGGCATGCAGAAGGCTGACGTCTATAGCTTTGGGATCATCCTGCAGGAGATAGCACTTCGCAGTGGTCCTTTCTACTTGGAGGGCCTGGACCTCAGCCCCAAAGGTAAGAGTCAATCCACTACCCACAGCCTCTTCTTCCTGGGGGAACTCTGTTCTTCATCCAAACCTTTGATCACCCTCAGAGATTGTCCAGAAGGTACGAAATGGTCAGCGGCCATATTTCCGGCCAAGCATTGACCGGACCCAACTGAATGAAGAGCTAGTTTTGCTGATGGAGCGATGTTGGGCTCAGGACCCAGCTGAGCGGCCAGACTTTGGACAGATTAAGGGCTTCATTCGGCGCTTTAACAAGTGAGAGGGCATTATGGGGCAGGGGCTTCCCAGGGATAGAAGACTCATTAGTCCTAGTGCATGAAGTGGGGCAGGTGGGACCAGAGGGTGGGTTGGATAGGAAGTCCTGGGAATCTTCAGAATCTTAGAGCAAGTGCCTTATCCTGGCCTCCCTCTAGGGAGGGTGGCACCAGCATATTGGACAACCTCCTGCTGCGCATGGAACAGTATGCCAATAACTTGGAGAAGCTGGTGGAGGAACGCACACAGGCCTATCTGGAGGAAAAACGCAAGGCTGAAGCTCTGCTCTACCAAATCCTACCCCAGTGAGACTTTGTCCCCCTTCCTGTATTTTCTTTTGGGATTCTGCTCTGTTGGGCTCTGCCTCATCAGGCACCTGAGAACTCGCCTCCCCACCCTCAGAACCCTGCTGGCCACAGGGAGCACCCCTGCTTATAGATTATTTGCTGTCATTCTGTCTCCACATCAGCTATGCTGCCTTCTTACTGGCTGCCCATCCCTTCTTCTTAAGACCCTGCTCTACCACACCCTTGCTTCAGCAAGTGTATGTAAAACAGTCCCAACTTGAGACAGCTCCCATGCACAGGGATTCCCCTCAAACCCCCCCGCCACTTGTGTGCCTTACCTTGCATTAGACTGTAATGTCTTCCCAGCCACTTTCCTCCCTCCCACCTGAAAAGCCTAGCTTTCTTGTTACAGCTCATCTCTGCTGCAGCCACATACACTTTCCCTCTCTCTTCCACTCCTGCTCTCTTGGAGTTTGGCTCATACGGCACCCTTGCTTCCTAGTTCAGTGGCAGAGCAGTTAAAACGGGGAGAGACTGTACAGGCTGAGGCCTTTGACAGTGTTACCATCTACTTCAGTGACATTGTTGGCTTCACAGCATTGTCAGCAGAGAGCACCCCCATGCAGGTGAGAGCCATGGGTGAGAGGTGGCGGGTGGGGTTGGGTGGGTAGGGACCTGGGGAAGCCTCATTGATAATAGGAAAGATGAGTTTGTTCTAGAGTTCCCACATCTTTTGATGGCTTGTGGGTTAAGAATTCTTAGAAAATTGGGCACAAGTCTCAGGGCCTCTGCTTTTCTATCCCTTTTAGGTAGTGACACTTCTTAATGACCTGTATACCTGCTTTGATGCCATAATTGACAACTTTGATGTCTACAAGGTGAGAGCTGGGGCCGCTGTTCAATAGAAGACCCTTTAATAGAGACCCGCTTTGAAACTCAGTCTCCCTGAACCCCACACACCTTACCCACCCCATGATCAGTTTTCCCTCCAGGGTACTCAGCATCCTGGTGCTGGAGTGTACTTCGTAGACAGATGTAGCTCCAGCACTATAATTGTACACTCCAGTCGAATTTCTTGTGAATCCTTTGACTTCCCTAATCAGAACCATCATGAGATTTAGCTCCTATCTTCCTGGAGTATAAATACAGCCTATCCAACATTTCTCTCCAGTCCTCTCCAGACATGGAAGAATCATATAGGATGTGGGTCCAGACTGATTTAGTGGGGTGAGGGAAAATATATTTTAAAAAGTAAAACTTTTTGTTGAAGTTATTGAGTTGGATTTATTGTCCTTGGGAGTAAAAATCATCTGGATTTGAATATTGGCTTGTTGCTAACTGTGTGGCCTTAGGTAAGTCACAGAATCTCCCTGAGCCTCAGTTGTTTTATCTGTAAGATGGGAATAATAGATTCGTTGTATGGAAAGTACCTAACATTGTTTGGCATGTGGCAGACTACTATTTAGGGATAACTACTTTATCCCTAAATACTTAGTGTGTATTTCCTAAAAACTTCACTGTGTATTTCCTTAAAACAATGGCATTTATTCTCTTACATAGCTTTGGCACAATTACCAAAATCAAATGCCTGCTTTCCTCCTCTCTGACAGTTTGGGCTGTCAGGTCCATTTCACTGGGCCTGCTTTACCTCCTCACCAGCCTCTGTCCTCTTGAGTTACCGTTTTCTTGCTTCCCATTTCCTGATGGCAGAGCCTATTTGTCCATGTCCTGCTGCAGACAGGGTGTTCATTCATTCCGCAAATGTTTACTGAGTATTCACCAGGTGCTGGGTGGAGAAAGAAGACTTAAAGATTCCCTAGACATCTCCTCTCCCCTAGACTCAGGACCATGGCACTTATTTTCTAGTCAATATTCTGGTCTCCAGCATGTCAGGATGATTAATGATGGTGTCAAGCTTGTCTCCCTCTACTTTTTCCCATCCCCATGGATATAAATAGAGGTGACCTTTTAATCCCCCTCTCAATCAGGTGGAGACGATTGGGGATGCTTACATGGTGGTATCTGGCCTCCCAGGCCGAAATGGTCAACGCCATGCACCAGAAATTGCTCGTATGGCCCTAGCATTACTAGATGCAGTTTCTTCCTTTCGCATCCGCCACCGACCCCATGACCAGCTGAGGCTACGCATAGGGGTCCATACTGGTAAGGCTGACTCTCACTCCAGCCCTAGTCTCCACCTTTCCCAGACTCTCCCAACCTGTTTCTTCTCAAAGGGCCAGTCTGTGCTGGGGTTGTTGGCCTGAAGATGCCCCGTTATTGTCTTTTTGGAGACACAGTGAACACTGCTTCTCGAATGGAGTCTAATGGTCAAGGTAAGACATTAGCCCTCAACCCCACTGTTGGCCTCAATTTATCTTGCCCTTTTCTTCTTTTCATAATCCCTCCAATTTCTTAATCTGAGAGACCACAGTTCCTTAGTGTCGCATCCTCGGGCATATTTTGGTTCTAATAGATATGCATTGGGAGGTTGGGCATATTTTGGTCCTAATAGATATGCATTGGGAGCTTCCCAGGGATGGTTGGTCGGGCACGGTGCTATACAGTATCACCAATTATTTGATTGCCTTTTCTTTGATTCCTCATTCCACCATCCTCCCCATTCCACCCACCCCAGCGCTGAAGATCCATGTCTCCTCTACCACCAAGGATGCCCTAGATGAGCTAGGATGCTTCCAGCTAGAGCTTCGGGGGGATGTGGAAATGAAGGTGATGGCAGGCCATGGGGAGGGGGGCATGGAAAGGGAGGGTGAAAGTGATTATGGGAATCATAGGGAAAGAGAGGGAGACAAAGGGACTAACATCGAAGCATCTGAATCATGTCCACTCTCCCACTTCCAGGGAAAAGGAAAGATGCGAACATACTGGCTCTTAGGAGAGCGGAAAGGACCTCCTGGACTCCTGTAAACCCCCATTCTTTCCAAGTCAGATAGTCTTCTGCTGCTGGTACCTGGGTGGGCAATGGCCACCATGTCTGCACACACCAGAAATGGACATTTTCATATGCAATGGAAAACAGCCACAAAAAAACCTACCTTATATGGAAGTTGTAGCCCTCTGCAGCTCAGCCCTGTACATATACCTGTCCCTCTCTGGCTTGGTCCCCTTCCTCCCTACTTTCTGTAAATATCTGTATCTAAACCAGAATATTTTGGTCAAATATAAAACAATAATAAAAAAAGTTCTGATGTCATAGTGTGGGATAGGGGCAATCCCAAGGAAAGGTTATGGGGTATGCACACAGTGACTCACAGAATCACTAAATTAGCAGTCTTGGGATGAGAGAGAACCCTTTATGTAAAGCCTCTTCAAGTACAGTGAGAATTAACTTCCTCCCGACCTCTCTAGTGCAGACAGAAATAGATTCCATATTCCATACCCCACTTCCCTCCTCACCCCTCAGAAAGGAGTCATTCTCCCCCCTCCACCACCCAGCCTTCCTCCGGGACAGGGAAGGGAAGATATTTCTCCCAATTGGTAGGGGTAATTCTCAGGTTCATAGGGCAAAAGTTTCCCCAGAGACAAGGGTACTGGTGTTGAGAAGCTGCAGTTCTTCCGGAATGGTGTGTCCAATGTCCTGATGTTACTGACACCCTGGAGGAGTGCCAGGATGAGGATGGATCCCACTCTCCCCAAGCCAGAACAAAACAACTCTGCCCTACCTTTCCTGCCCCGCTCTGCCCCCAACACCTAGTCACCCTCACACACCGGCAGCTGTGGTGCCCTCTGTATCCAGAAGGTCTCAGGTTGCTCCTGGCGGTAGTCGTGAGGCTGTGAGGGAGGGTACTGAGTAACTCCTGGCCTTCAGCCCTCTCTCTCAACCTCTGGGCTTGGTACTTGGCCACAGCCTGTCAGAGCCCAGCTGGTGCAAGTGGCGGGGGATGGGGGGTGGGTTCTCACCTTTGTTGGGGCAGGAGTCCCTGCTTGTGCCAGCTCCATTCGGTAGTCATGGTGTGTCACAGACTCAACCTCGAAGAGCTTCCTTGTGGGTTCCTGTTCTGCCTGCACCTCTTTACTATGTAGCCCGAGGGGTGTCAAGGCCATTCTCACCCAATTTTTCTCCTCCCCATCCCTCTTCCCCTTTACCCAATCCCTTACCAGATCTGATGCTGCAGGAGCATCTCCAGCATGGCTTCACGCTTCCCTGTGAGAGAGTTGGGGGGTGGGCAAGGTGGGGTCTGGTTAAGAAGGAGGCCCAGAAGAAACTAACTTGAGAAAAGGAAGAAGAACCTTGGGGTTCCGCCCTTATATCCACTGGAGAATCCACAGCCCCACCAGAAATTCCTTCCTCTTCTTCCCTCTGAGTAATGGGCTCGTTCTGGCCTACCCTCTCACATTTCACACCTCGAAGTGGCCAATAGACGTTTCCTGGTGGCTGGTACGAGTCTTTCTGGGTGGTGCTGGAGGGCATGGGTGACTTTAGTTGCATAGTCAGCAGTCCCCGGTGTCCGTGTCGGAAGAAAAAACTCTCAGAGCCATCCTGCATGCTTGGGACTTGATCCAGGTGGTTGGTGGCTCTCTGTGGATCCCAAGTTGAATGACTATAATATCCCTTCTGGTACCCACCCTCATGTAAACTACTGCCTCCCCTAAGAAACTGAGGGCAGCCTTCAAGAAAAGGGAGCAGGCCAAAACTTTAATACCTCTTCCTCCCAGTTGTAGAGGAGGCACTGGCCCCGCGGCAAAGTTTCATAGCAAACCATAAGCTTCCCTTTAATGTCTGGGGGTTTCCATAGTCCTCGGGCACCCGGTTCTAAGACTTGCAAAAATTCCCAAGGTGGTTGTTTCTGGGGCTCCCAGGGGCAGTGCTGACTCCAGGAGGTATAGTTAGGGACCCGATCTGCCACCAGGTTTCTGAACCCTGGAGGAATACAGGGGCTGAGCTCAGAGTCAGGGCCAGTGTCTGGACCAGGCCCAGAGGCAGGACCAGGATGAGAGCCAGAGCCATGACCAGGACCAGAGCCAGGACCAGAGCCAGGACCAGGACCAGAGCCAGAGCCAGGGACAGAGCCACAGCCAGGACCAGAGCCAGAGCCAGAGCCATGGCCAGCACCTGAGCTGGAACCAAGAACAGGCCCAGAGCTAGAGCCTGGAACAGGGCCAGGATTAGAACTATGGTCAGTTGTAGTGCAAGTGTCCTGAGCAATACAGGAAACATAGACGGGCTCAAAGCCAAGACTCCCATGGGCTATATTGTGGGTAAAGCCGGGTCCCGCACAGGGCTCCCCAAGAAGGCTGGGGTCAGAGGACGGCTCCATGAACTCAGAACAGGGCGCTGGGGTCTTTGTAGATAATGCAGCTGCTTTGGCAGTGGTGAAGGCTGCAGTAGCTGCAGCAGCTGATGCAGCCGCTGCAGCTGCTGCGGTTGCAGCTGCCAGGGCCGACCTGGGACTGTCATCTGAAGAAGGAAACGGTTCCGAAGTGGGCCCCAGTCCTTCGGAGCTGGGCTGTATGTCTAAAGATCTGAAAGAAAGCAAACACGACATGGCTGTCAAAAGCGCAGCAGAGGAAGTCAGCTGACCTTCCTCGTCCCCTTATGCCTGCAGCCAGAGCTGCGGCTCTCACCGCGACCGCGACCGCGATCCCTCCGTAGACTCGTTGGTCTCCATCTTCAGACTCCAGCTACTGGGTTGCCATAGAGACAGCAAACAACTCCTGGAGCCTGCGCAGAAGTACAGCTGGGCGGACTTGCAGGTGGCGGTGGAGGCAAGTCCTCTGCGGGGCGGAAGTCTTCAGCCTAGTGCTGTTAGGGAGGTCCGCTTTCCGGTCCCGGCGGCATTCCGCCTCAGACGGGGTTTTAGGGTTCCGCTGGCTTAAGACCTCGCCCTCCACGTCCAAACAGTCTTTGCGTGCGGTTTTCTAAGATGATGCTTTATGGGGATATGTTGGAAACAGGCACAGGGTTGTGGCATTAGATTACAGCCTACTTGGTGTTTGCTGAGAGGCAAGTAGCTTCCCCTTAGTTTGCTTAGTTCATTCTCAAAAGTGAGTGGGGTCTTTAACAAATGTTAAGGATGAAAATAAACAAACTAGCTTGAGCAAAATGGTGAGACGTAGAATAGTGAAAAGGCAGCCGCTTTTGTTTGGGTGTGATTACTCCTCCTCTAATAAAAGACCCTCATATTGACCACCCTCCTCCTAAGCGCCCTTAGAACCTGGTTTGACCTCTGAAGAAGGGCCAGGATTGGCTTTCAGTTTCTTCCTACTCATTTAGGCTCATTCCTACTGTTACTTTTCTAGAAGCTTGACCTAGGGTGGACCACTTGTCAAGAAGACTTACATATCTGCAGGCAACATTTAACCACAGGTTGGACCTCCTCAGTGTCTTTCACTCAGACCAGTCAAGGGGCATCATAGCCCTGAATCAGTTTTCTTTCCCCTTTGTGGTATAAAATTTTATATTAAAGACAGGAGAGCATAATTAAGGGAGAACAGTTTTATTAGCATCACAGGGTCCATTTTTCCCTTTCCATCCAAGCATCCAGAGTCTGGTGTCCTTTAATCAGTTGGCAGGTTCAACCTGGAGGCCACTGGAGCTGCCGGCCCCCAAGTACATGAATGTGCAGATGATACACAGATTGTGCACCCAGCTTCCCATCGTTGATCACTGAAATTGAGCTTGGGGTTAGGGAGTCAGGATCATGGCAGAGGTCGAAGAATGAAGATCATATTGAGAAGTAGGAATGAGAATTCATAGGTGAGGGACCAAGGGCCAAAAGTCACTCACCAAGTCGGTATCCATCTCCCAGGCCCTCAGCCTTTGCTGTCTGCTTGGCCACAAGGAGTAGGTGTCCTAGAAGCTATAGAGAGAGCGGAGGGACATAGGTGGCTTCATTCATAGGGAGCAAGACCTCTAGCTGGGTCCAGGGGCTCCTCCCAGCCAAACCCTGGCCCTGTTCTTCCCACCTGCTGGTCTTCTTCTTCAGCCTGGCTAATCCGAGGAATGGGCTTCTTAGGAATGACCAGGAAGTGCACAGGAGCCTGAGGGGCCACATCACGGAACACAAGACACTGGGGGAAGTGACAGGCCAGAGGCCACGTTACTTCAACAGGTTGGATGGTATCTACAACATTCCTAAGGGGATAGGTCCTAAGAGCACCCCACCTGCTGGTCCTCATAGAGAATGTCAGCTGGGAGGCTCTTGTCCAGGATCCGGGAGAAGATGGTTGGGGCTGCTCCCCCAGGAGTTGCCTGCTGGGCCTTGGCCACTTCATTCCCATCAGTCACACCTGCAGCTCCTCGGACCTGAAGGTGGATCGACCATATTCAAAGGAGGGAGCTGGCAGAAGCTGGGCTCTGATAGTTGTTAATTTCGTCCTTCTAATAACCTATTCATCGTTCCCACCCAGGAGGAAAGTTCCTGAATTTCAGAGCACCAGCAGCAAAGGGTAGGGCCAGAAGGTGCTGGACCTGGTTAGATAACAGGCGGTATTATTATCAGGATTCAGCAGTGCAATTGATTCCTGCTCATGTGTCCACGAAATATAGCACTGTTTAGGGAAAGGATCTAGAATGAGAGACTGGGGATTTTGGTCTCAGTTCCTACCTTACCATACCACTGAATTACCTCAGATAAATTCCTTCTCTCAGCTTCTAATATAAAATAAAGGGATGGTTTCCATAATCTCTTGCGATGGCTTGAATCTCTTTCCACTCTCACCTTGTTAGTACATTTCCACTTATTTCCGTTACTTGTTTTCTGATCTTTAAGCCTTGTCGCCTGTTTTATTTAAGTTTTAATGCAATCGCCCTGTTTGACACTAGTTGACCCCTCATCTGGGTGTCACATGTGACTCTGTGAATTTTAACTCTTGTCCCTTGAATGAGTGGAGGTAAGAGTTCAGCTAAGTGACCTCTGCTCCCCTAGCCCCAGGGAACTTCGGGTAAGGGATTCAGAGAAGGCTGATGTCATTGCATCACGTTGGGGGAGAACGGGACGGAATGAATTCTCTGACCTCCGAGCCGCTTCTGGCAAGTGCAGAAGAGAGGTTAACACTAGTGCTCATTAGGAGGCCAGAAGCCTGAGGAGGGCAGAGCACTGGCTCCAAGAAGAGAAAGCTCATTTCCTGCAGGGGGCATCGGGCCAGCTGGGCTGCAGGCAGTGGAAAGAAGGCGGCAGCCGCTGCACTGACCCTGTCCCGACCTCGGCGCCCCGGCCTGCGCAGGGCGGGAATCAGCACCAGCTCGTTCTCCGGAGCCACCAGTTCGACCTCACCACACAGCCCCGGAGCTTGTGCCTCGGAGGGGCAGAGGCCACAGGCAGGAGCTCTGCGCGGCTCTGCGCGCCTTCGGGACCCCCTGGCCCCGGATGGCTTCGGAGCCCGCAGGACCCCCTACTCGCTCCCGCGCCACTTCTCACCTGCCCCCCGCGCACCCCCGTGGCCGCCACGGCTCTGCGCGCCGCGCGCAACCCAGCAGCCAGCACCACGGCTGCCGCCATCTTCCCTGAGCCGCGGGAACCTCTCACCCGGGTCAGCACTCGGCTCCGCGGCCGGCCGTGGGTGGGGACTCCGGGCGCGGGGAAGCGGGGTAGTGGCGGCCGGGCGAGCCCTGCTACCCCATTGGAGCGCGCCTCTGAGCACGATTCACCCCATTGCCTCTGCAGCCACTTTGGAGGCGGGCTCTTTTCATCTCATTGGCTGCTTCTACCAACGCGAGGACAATTTTCCATTCCATTGGTTTCGTCTTCTAGTCCGTGTGAACGTTCTTTTCCCATTGGATCCCCTTACTAGTTTCTCTGTGAGAGAAACTTCCACTCCATTGGAAGGATTAATGGAGCCTGGAGGTGGGATTTTCTCCTAGTTGAATCTGATACACAACTCTGGCTTCTAGGTTGCGGCTCCCGAGTGGGTGGTTCTTTTCGTTCTTGGTTCGTCCTCTTCAGGTCTGGTTCCTATTGGTGCGCGGGGAGAAGGGGGCGGGGCTCCGCCACCTGCTGCAGAAAGGGCTGTTTTAGACCCTCTCACCGCTTTGGCCAGGAGGAGGGCGGGGCTCTGAGGGCATCCGGCGCTTATTGGCTCCAAGAACCACCCGGGGTGGGGCTAAAGGTGAACGGGGATGAGGTGTGTTTTTTTGTGTTTGTTTGTTTGTTTTAACTGGCGGGGCTGATGCGCAGCATTTTCTCCACAAGGGCAGTTTCAGTCCCTTGAGCATTTTGGAGATTTTAATGTACTTATCTAAGGGAAATTCTTCCTTAATTCTATGTTCTTGTTAACGCATTCACTCCATAGATTAAAAAGTCTGTGGTTTTTGCATTTTTTTTTTTTGAGCAGGAGGAGATAAGAGTGTCCTATATTTGCCGCACAAGAATTATAATAAGCAAAGGAGTATGTATTCATTGTTCTTTTCTAATCGGAAAAGGTGTGTGATACAGTTAGCTCGGTGCCTGGTGTTTTCTTTTTTTTTCTTTTTTTCTTTTTTCTTTTTTTTTTTTTTTGAGACGGAGTCTCGCTCTGTCGCCCAGGCTGGAGTGCAGTGGCGCGATCTCGGCTCACTGCAAGCTCCGCCTCCCGAGTTCACGCCATTCTCCTGCCTCAGCCTCCCGAGTAGCTGGGACTACAGGCACCCGCCACCACGCCCGGCTAATTTTTTGTATTTTTATTAGAGACGGGGTTTCACCGTGTTAGCCAGGATGGTCTCGATCTCCTGACCTCGTGATCCTCCTGCCTCGGCCTCCCAAGGTGCTGGGATTACAGGTATGAGGCACCAATAAGTCAGGTTTGCACTGCTGGAATATATATTTTTGACATAAGAAACGTGGGGTCACAAAATACTAATATTCTCAGACGCTAGGTAAGTTTTAGTCTGATATCACATAGGACAAGTTACCACTGTTTCTTTGGTTTTTCTTTTTTTCTTTTTTTTTTTTTTAAACACATGACCTGATACATATAGGTGGTCAGTAATTGTTGAATGAATAACATTTGGTGTTTCCTGTCTTTTTTTCATAATATGTAATATGTATTGCATATGATACTAACCCATGTGTAATCAATTTTTCATATTTTTACAGTCTACGTAAATATAGTTTGTATTGGCTGCTTATTATTTCCTTCAATGAGTTTATCATAGTAATCCTAACTCTATTGTTGACTATTAGTTGAATTAGTTTTAGGTGAATGGTTATCATGGGGCATATAACCACTGTTGGGGAACTTTGCTTCTAGAGATATAACAATCTCTTTTGTATAGCTATATTATTGTTAGAAAATCCTTTCTCCTCTAAAGGGCAGACATTTGATTCTGTGATTTTCCCCAGGGATCCTAGCAGTCCAGATTGCATTCCTTCCCTTGGAGGAACAGATGGCCCCCCTAATTGTGAGGAAATGTAGAATGGCCTCTTCTCTGGGCCCCAGAGGCTGCAGTTCTCTGTGGTGCCTCTGGGACACTGGGAGACCCTAGAGTTGCCCTGGAGAAGGGCGAGAGATAAGTGGATCTGGGATCTAGGAAGAGGAAGGAAGCCAGTCTGGAGGATAGGTGGATACAAAGCACTTTGAAATTAGTTATTTCTTTGGTTCTCATAGAAAGTAGGCAACACAGAGGTTATTCCTGTTTTACAGGTCCAGAAACTCAGCCTAAAGAGGGACAGTGACTTGCCTGGGTTCACAGAGCCCATTAGTGCTGGAATCTCCTACTCCCATAAGAACCTATGGACTCCCTTGTGACTTCCCACATTCACTGATTTTGATCCTTGGCCCACAGTTTTCTCTACTTCAAGCACTTATCACCTTCACTTGCCCTCATCTGAAAGATGTTATGCTCTGCAGCCTCTGAACACTGTCTCTTGTACTCCAACCCCTGCCCCTACGTCTGCTACTGTACCTCATTAGAGACTTCTCTTCCTTTGACTGCTCCCTTTTTCAATCTGTCATTTGCCTCCTGGCATCACTTTCTTTCCCTATTGGTGCTGTATGCTCCCTTCACATCCTCATGCCTTCTTTTGCTTAGTTTTCCTGATCTTCCTCCCTGACACCCTCACATCATCAACCCATTAAATATTTGGATTCTCTGCTTCTCTAACTAGGTTCTCACTTCCAACTGTGCCCGAATCCTGAACTACCCACTGATGAGGTTTTTCTCCAGTTCCCTACATTAGCCTTCCCAAACCTTCCCCTTTCTCTTCTTGTCTCCTGCTCCCTACTCTTATCCCTCTTCCCCTGGACCCCAGCCATTGGCCTTATCTCCTACTTCACAGGGCATATAGAAGCCATCAGAGGGGAACTTCCACAGGTTCTTGTTCCCTGAAACTCTAGGAAGGCTCCATCCTCTTCCTTCGTCTTGGTCATAGGAAGTGGTGTTTCTCCTGTCCAGAGAAAATCCCTTCACCTCTGCTTTGACCTCATCCCTTTCCTCCATCTCTGGGATCTTGTCTCACCAGGCATCTCTTCTCTCTCTTCTGGGTCCTTCAAGGTCCTTTAGTCTACTGGCCTCTTCCCCTTTTCCTTCCTACAAAAGTACTTCCTTGACTCCACAACTCCCTCTGGATATTGTCTGACTTTACTTTTGTACTTTTCATCCAAGCTTCTTTAAGAGACTCCTTGAAACTCACTGCTGTTTGACTCCTGCCTCCACTGCACCAGTGTGAAACTGCACTCTCCGATGTTCCCAAAGATCTTCTAATTGCAAAACCCAATGGACACTTTTCAGTCTTTATCTTATTGGTGCCCCAACTGCATCTAACATCACTTCCCACTCTATCCTTCTTGAAACTTCCTCCCTTCTTGACTTCCTTGAAGCCACTTTCCTTCAACAGGCAGCTTGAATGTGAGTGTGATGGAGGCAGATGGCCAGATCCAGGCTTTCTCCTGTGTCTAATAGGTGTCAACTCTAAGTTATTAGGCAGTCTCTCCCTGGGCTGGGATCTACCTGCCCCATATAGAGCCAAGTCAGGTTCCAATGACTCCTCTTTTATTGCTGATCTGGGCCAGACTCACAAAGGCCTGTGCCAGTTGCTGACAGTGTCTGTCCCTGGAGGAAGAAAGAGCAGAGGTGAAAGGGTCAGGTATGGGGGTCAGAAGGGAGGCCAGGCTGGAGACCGTGTGAACCAGGGAGCCCCGGGGGACTAGGGTGGGAGCTGGGAAGGCCAGAGGGCCCCTGTATCTGCAGGGCCTAGAAGTCAGAGTTGCTGAGGATGGCTTCTCGGAGCACAGCCATCTCTGCAAAAGGTACATAGTCTGCTCCTGGGGGTGAAAACCAGTGCAGATGTGGGATGCAGGTAGGTGGGTGGTGGGGAGGTGGGCTGAGGGAGCGCGCTAGTCCTGGAAGGGATGGTTGAGGATGGGAGTGCCTTCCTGCCTGGCCTTCTGACTACAGACCCTGGAATGGCCCCCTGTCCCAGGTTTCTGCCTCACCGCGAGGCCTTCCTCCTCGTTGCCGGGTCTTCTGGGTGTCAAAGAAAGTCTCGTGTTCCTCCCAGCGCCGGTCACAGGCCGCACAGAGGAAATTAGACTCAAAACAGCCGCAGCAACAGCCTGGGGCAAAAGTGCAGCCAAGAAGAGTTTAGGAAATGGTGGTATCCCCAGGAGCTGACCACATTCTCATCTCTTCCTCAGTGACCGCATGCCCAAGGCTCTCATACCTGCTCTCCATCATTATCCCCAGATTGCATCCTATCCCCACCTACCCTGCTCCCAATACACCTCTTGCCCTAGAAGTTACCATGATGCCTGCAGGGATGGGGCCCAGTGGCTGCATGTTCTTCGTGGCTGTGTTTGCAGCGACATTGGGCCCTCCAGGCCTTGGGGTCAAAGGTGGCCCGTCTCTTGAGCCAGAACTCACCCACCTCCTCTGGGCGTGATGGGATAAAGCAGAACATGAAGCAGCGGCACTGGCTTACCTTGCAGGGCACCGATATGTCTGTGGGATTGGGGATGGATGGTAGGGTTAATCTGATAGGACCTTGCCTTCTCATGCCAACCCCATCCTCCATCCCCACCACCCCCTATGCACGCAGACATGCTTTTTTTTTTTTTGAGATGGAGTTTTGCTCTGTCGCCCAGGCTGGAGTGCAGTGGCATGATCTCAGTTCACTGCAACTTCCGCCTCCTGGCTTCAAGTGACTCTCCTGCCTCAGCCTCCTGAGTAGCTGGGACTACAGGTGCGTGCCACCATGCCTGGCTAAATTTTTTGTATTTATTTATTTATTTTTTAGTAGAGACGGTGTTTCACTGTGTTAGCCAGGATGGTCTCGATCTCCTGACCTTTGATCCACCCGCCTCCGCCTCCCAAAGTGCTGGGATTACAGGGGTGAGCCACCGTGCCCAGCCACATGCTCTCTCTCATACTTCCCAAGACATGACAGAGTACAGTTATTCCTCCACACTCGAGAGGGGCTGGTCAGTTCTCCCCTACCTGAGATGATCCGGTGCTCTCTCAACAAGTGTCCACAAAAGCATCTGGACTCATCCCCAATCCGGAAACAGTCCCATAGGTAATGGGGGCAGCGCCAGCCAATGTAGAGACCTAGGTATGCAGGATTAAAAGTGAGAAGTAAAAAAATTCTAAGCTCCCCCGAAGTGTTCTTACCTATCCCTTGATGGAGGTGAGGGGGTGGGGGGAACTTACCTCTCCCCACCCCCAGGTATCTTTATCTCCACCTGGAAGTCCTCACCTCTACCCCTTAGATTTTCTTTTTCCTCAGGGTTTTCTCATTACCCCAGAAGTGTCTTCAGTTCTCTTCCTACCCAGGATCTACTCCATCTTTGTCAGCCTGCCAGAGATGACTCAAGAGAGTGGTTTCTGAGCAGGAAGATTATAGATGAAATTTTGTTTGAGGATGAACATGAATCTCACTGAGTTCTCTGTGACCACAGGGATTCTCATCTCCTCTCCTCATCCCACTAAAGCCCAACTTTGCTTTGTTTTCTTGAAGTGTCTAAGGTGAGGGAAAGGGAAGATGATTGGCCAGATGTACAGACAATGGGATTGGCTCCTAAGGAGCATATTTATTGAAGGTCCTGAAGAGGAGAAGGAGGTTGGATAGCTCTGGTGCTGGAAGGTAGGAGGAGGGCTTCCTCTCACGTCTCCACGTTGGTACCTTAATACCTCCCTCTGTGTTCCTGGTGCTATTGTACCAATGCTCTCTGTGTACCTAAGAAGGGCTGCCAAAGGTTCTTCAAGGGTCAGGAGAAAGGGGTAGGTAGCAGTCATGAGTGGTGAAGACCAAAAATTATATATTTTGAGGCTAAGCAAGGAGGCGTGGAAAGGAAAGTGAGGCTAAGAAGTGTCCCTGAGAGTAGGCACCAGCAAGAGGTCACAACCCTCGAGAGCTGGTGTTCAGCAGTGAGGTCTGAATCCCTGGCTTCGTGACTAGTCTTGAGGTGAGGGTGGTGCTGTGCAACTGAGGGAGGATAACCAGATGGCACCTCCAATTCAGATTTTCTCATTCTCCATGAGAACTGAGAGTACCCCAACTTCTAGCCAAGAATCCTGTATGAGGCCCCATGCAGTGGGACTGCCAGGTGTAGGATTCTTAGTCCCAATTAAAGGCTCAACTGAAATGTCACCTCCACCAAAAAGGTGTCCCTGACTTCCCCTGTCTGTCTGGGCCCCTCCTATTGCCATCCATAGCTCCTTGTGCTACTCCTGTTGCAGTACACTGCATTATAATAGATCATTCCCTTGTATTCCTATTAGTCCATGAGTTCTTCAAGGGAGCTGTCTTTTCACCCGTATCTCTCATCCTAGCACAAGGCCTGGCACAAAATGGTTGCTGAGAGAACGTAGATTGCCTGATTAAACAATTGAGCTCATTCCTTCAAGAGGAAGAGAGAGCCAGTATTCAGGCATAACCCTGAGGTTCCATAACATGAATAAGGAGAGTGGCATCATCTGGTCTTTGACTGTGGTCAGGGCCACAATTCACAATTCCGTGCCTCAGATTAAGTTTTCTTGTCTTACCCATAGTCTGTCAGGATCTAAAGCCTGTCTAGATGTGGCTTTTGGCTTTGCTTCTTCTGTCTTGATGCTGATTGCCTGTAGTGCCAGTGCCCCCTTACACCAGGGAGGCTTTGTTGAGAGAGCAAGGTATAGGCAGTCACAATGCAGGTGGGCGGGAGCCAGGATTCCACTAGAGGAGTTCCGAATTCTGTCTGGAGTAGCAGGATACATTAAAAAAGCAGGAGGTGAGGCCCAAAGATCAAGGCCTGCTCGGAGGGCCGGGGGGCAGTCAAGTCCAAGCACTAGTGTAGGAATCAGTGCCCAGCATTCAGATGAAGAAGACTGGAGTTTGAACAGGGAGACTGGCAACTATACTTCAGATTCTGTTACAAGTGTTAGTGCTCTTAAAGTGGGACAATTGGAAGGTGGCTGTGGATTCCAGTGGGACCCTCTACTCTCTGTCCTGATTCCAAACTCCCTTCCTGTTGTGGGTGGACAAGGCCTGGCGGGGGAGGAGACATTATTTGGGATGCCATTTTGATTCTGTCTAACACAGTCCAGTTCCACAATCACATAATCACATTTGCATGATGACATCTCTTTATGCATAGTATGTCTCCATAAAACACATGGCTGTCTTTACAGGAACAATGTCTCCAGCCTAGCCCTCTCTCCTGAGCTTCAGACCCATATAGCCAGCTGTCTACTAGACTCTTGGGCCAGCATGTTTCATAAGCACTTCAAATGTCTTATGCCCAATTATTCCCTCCAAACCTGGCTCTCATCCTTTGTCCTCTGTTCATCCAACACATGCCTACCAAGCATCTACCCTTTTCTAGGCATTCAGTTAATGGCACCATTATCCTACCACTTACTTATGCCAAAAACTGGTGGCACTCCAGGCATTTCCCTCTCTCTTATCCTATACATCCACTGTTCCAATGGTCAGTTTCACTTTGTTAGCTTTTCTTTTCTTTTCCCTACTTTTCTTGTTTCTTTTCTTTCTTTTTTGACAGAGTCTCGCTCTGTTGCCTAGGCTGGAGTGCAGTGGTGCAACCTCGGCTCACTGCAACCTCCACCTCCTGGGTTCAAGCAATTCTCCTGCCTCAGCCTCCCAAGTAGCTGGGATTACAGGTGTCCGCCACCACACCCGGCTAATTTTTTGTATTTTTAATAGAGACGGGGTTTCACCATGTTGTCCAGGCTGGTCTCGAGCTCCTAGCCTCAGGTGATCCACCCCTTGGCCTCCCAAAGTGCTGGGATTACAGGTGGTAGCCGCTGCGCTCGGCCTGTTAGCATTTCTTGAACCTGTCCACTTCTCTCCACCTAAGCCCATCTACTTCTTTCCTGGTTATGACCAGTGCCTCACAATGTATTCACTTGCCTTTCCATACCTCCTCTCTTAGCCTCACAACTCCAGTCTTGTCTTTCTCCAGTCTACCCTATTGCCAGAGTGATCTTGCAGAAACAGAAATTCGTTCATGTTATTGTCCTACTTAAAACCTTCTAGTGACTCTCAGTTGCCCTCAGGATATAATTCTAGCTTTTAACTTGGCACAGAAATTCCTGCACAATTCTGCCCTTCTAGAGCAGAGTGGGCTCTTCTCCCCACCACTCTATGCATCAGGCATAGTGCATTGCTATAGATTCCTGCTGTGCCTTGCCCTGTCATGTCTCATCTTACAGCACTCTTTACTTGGCCACCTCTTCTTACTCATCTTACAGATATCAGCTGAGAAGTCATTCCTTCCAAGGCTTACTATTCCTCAAGCACTCCAGATAAGATGCCCCTTTTTTTTCTGCTCATGCAGCAGTCTAGGATAACCTTGATTATAGCAATTATTAGAGTGAATTATAATTGTCCTTGTACTTATTGGTATCTCTCATTAGAGTGCCAAGTATTTTGTCTTTGAACCCCCATCAGCATTACCACTTCCATAGCTAGCTCAATGCCTGGCACATAGTTGGTGCTCAATAAATGTTTGTCGAATGAATAAAAACAAAGGTTACACTTGATATTTCTGTACACATCACATATACTGTTATGGACTACCCAGGACTCAACATCCCCACTATTAGGAGGGGACCTCAAATATAATTGTTCGGGGTTGAATGACATGAATTTCTTTATAAAACTTCCTGTTTAAACAGGAAGATGAAGAAGTTCAATTTGAAGAAGAAAAAGAAATACAGTGGGCTTGAGGAGTAGGGAGTAGACAGGAGGTTCTGAGTAGGGGAATAAGAGGACTGAACACATCCTGCATTTTTTTTTTTGAGACATTCTGTCACCCAGGCTGGAATACACTGGCACAATCACGGCTCACTGCAGCCTTGACCTCCTGGGCTCAAGTAATCTGCCCACCTCAGCCTACTAAGTAGCTGGGGCCACAGGTGTGCACCACTATGTCTGGATTATTTTATTTTATTTTTGTAGAGATAGGGTCTCACTGTCTTGTCCTCACTGTCTAACTCCTGGGCAATTAAGTGATCCTCCTGCCTCAGCCTCCCAAAGTTTTGGGATTACAGATGTGAGCCACCTTGCCAGCCAGAATTTGCAAGAAAATAAGAGTAACCGAATATGTTAACATAAGCAAACAAAGTTGGTGGTGGGGCGGGAGGGCAAGGGTGGGGAGGTGGAGGGTCCCTGCATGGGAAAGGGGAAAGTAAATTTCATGGAGGAGGGATAAGCATTTAGAATTACCTGCTTGTCTTTATGTTTTAGGCCTGTCATCGTAGCTCTATTCCCATCATAAAGGGAAAGGAAGTATGAAGGACCAAAATAAATGTCATAACATCTATTGAATTCAGTCTAGAAAGACCAGAATCCTTATAGCAGGTCAGGGTGGCCCTCTTACTGAAGGTAATCCCTATAGACATGAATTTCCATAACACAGGTAGGCATGCTCATGCATAGGATGGCATGTTTTTGCAAGTTCATCTGTACGCAGCATGCCACTAACAGGACTGTCAAGAGTACTAATCACAGGCTGAGGCTTGGAAACAGCAGGGCCAGAGGACACAGGTCTCCCCTTTGGTAACAGAACTCAAAGCTTTTGGGTACCCAGCATGGGCCTGGCATGCAGGGGTGACAGCCTTTTAATGGAGTTCCACCAAAGGGACTAAGGTCTTTGTCATGTCAGAACAGCAAGTCTCCTGGGGACTGTCCAGGGTCCTGGGCCATCTCTGCTTTAGGGTCTGTAGGCTCTCTGGGCCCTATATCTGGGGTGGGCCATGACCCTTCTGTTTTTTTTTGTTTTTTGTTTTTTGGTTTTTTTTTTTTTTTGAGACGGAGTCTCGCTCTGTTGCCCAGGCTGGAGTGCAGTGGCGCAATCTCGGCTCACTGCAAGCTCCACCTCCCGGGTTCACGCCATTCTCCTGCCTCAGCCTCCCGAGTAGCTGGGACTACAGGCACCTGCCACCACGCCCGGCTAATTTTTTGTATTTTCAGTAGAGACGGGGTTTCATCGTGTTACCCAGGACAGTCTCGATCTCCTGACCTCGTGATCCGCCCATCTCGGCCTCCCAAAGTGCTGGGATTACAGGCGTGAGCCACCGCGCCCAGCCGACCCTTCTGTGTTTAATAATTTTAGTTCAGCTACCTGTCTCTACCTGGGCTTTATATGAATCTCCCCACTTTTTGTCTGCATCCACCCTTGTATTCCTTGGCCCACTTGCCTGCTCCTTTTCCAGGCAGGTGGTATAGCCATTTCCAAAAGGGGAAGCTATCTGCTGAATGTTCAGGTTCCCAGATCTTTTGGATTAGAGGATGCCCATGGGCCTGTCACAGGCCTCTGAAAGGCCACATGGGCTCACCTGTCTGGATGGCATTCAGGGCTGCATCCTTCTCCCACTGGAAAAGATTGTTCACTTGAGCACCAAACTCCTCTCTATGCATTGCCTTAGCCACTTCCACCAGCTCTGTCTGCCTAGCAGGGAACACTGGGCGGGCTGTGTTACCTAGGATGGGAGAGGATGAGTAACCAGGGGGAAGTGAGAAGGCCCTAAAACTAAGAGAAGGGGCCATGTCCAAGAGTAACCCAGTCTCCTCCTCCTGGGGCAAGTCAAGGACAGTGAATAGTAGTGAGAACAGGACAGGGGAGAGGACAGGTACAATTACAGCTAACTCCTTTCTTCTTCTTCTTCTTGCCTAGTTGGTGTCCAGGTTGGGCTGTGTGAGCAGTGCTGTCACTGGCATCTACTCCCTTTTCAACCTCTCCTGCTTCTTCCTCCTGCTTTTCGGTTGTGTCCACTTGGACCTGGGATGAAGGGCCTGAAAGACAGTGTTCTGGAAGGCTCTCAGATTCAGAGAGATGGGTAGACCTCCTTGTCCATGGGACCTCATTGGAAGAAGACTCAGAGGAGAGGTCTTCCTTCAGAGTATCAGAAGAAGACAGACAGACATAGTCTCGTGATTGGGGAGGAAGAGTAAGGTGTTTCTCTGGCACCACTGAGATGGGACTATCCAATGAAGCCTCATAGGTAGGGGTCTCTGAAGGAGTCTCAGAGATGGAAGGCTCCTGATGGGTTTCAGGGGAATGGGCCTCTAAGGGGATCTGGGAAGGGGATGGCACCAAAGGGGATTCAGAGGTATGGGGCTCTAACGGGGTCTCAGAGGTGGAAGGCTTCAAGAAGCTTTCAGAGATATGGTTCTCCTGTAAGTCCTCAGCAGAGGGGTCCTTTGAAGGGGGGTGCTTCTCTGCATCCATGGTGATATGAGGCTCTTCTATGATCTCATGTGCTTCCATCTAGTGGTAGAACAGGGTACAGGCTTCATTAGGTTGGAAATAGAGGGCCGGCAAGTCAGGGCAGAGCCCAGGGTTCGCAGTGCATTATGGAATTTGGATAAGGATATCAGTGCAGCTGAGATATAAGAGGGAAACAACATGAACTCTGGGTCCTAGAGTGTGATGCCAAAAGGTTCACCCATGTGTCCAGACCTCATATGGCATGCTGCTGTGGCTTGTTAGGGAGCTGGAACTTAAAGATTGAAAGACTGAAGTAGTTCGAATCCCATCAGTAGATGGTAGCAGAGAACCATGTCCCAGGAGGGAGTCTGAACAACACCACTTGGGCAGTCCAAGAGCAGGGTCCTTGGCATATCTTAAAACCCTGGAGGTCAGACCATGGAGTTCTAGAGACTGGCAATACCAAGCCAAAGTTGGGGTTGGCTCCTGAGAGTGCAGGGGAATGCTGTCACATAAGGCAAGACACTGCACGCAGCCTGGTTTTGTCTAGGCACCACACACATCCTCCTCCCTTAATGATGTCATTCATGTTCAAAGCTTTAACTACTTCCAGTTGTGTACCAATGACTCCTAAATTCACATTTCTAGCTCAGACCTTTTTCAACCTCTGTACTTCACACTCATACCCACCTGCCTGCTGGCCTTCTCTTCTCTTCTCTTTTTGTGATGGAGTCTCGCTCTGTTGCCCAGACTGGAGTGCAGTGGCGCAATCTCGGTTCACTGCAACCTCCGCCTCCCGGGTTCAAGTGATTCTCCTGCCTCAGCCTCCCAAGTAGCTGGAATTACAGGCGTGTGCCACCATGCCCGGCTAAGTTTTATATTTTTAGTAGAGACGGGGTTTCACCATGTTGGTCAGGCTGGTCTTGAACTCCTGACCTCAGGTGATCTGCCCTGCTTGGCCTCCCAAAGTGCTGAGATTACAGGAGTGAGCCACCGTGCTTGGCCCCTGCTGGTCATTTCTAACTGAGTGTTTCCACAGACAGCAAAACTGAACTTTGGGAATTATCCTAGTCTTTTCCTTTTCCCTTAGACTCCATCTTCAAATAGGCACCAATAACTCTATTTCCTATCTTCTAAATATTCCCCAAATGCATTCTCTCCTCTCCCTTCCAATTTTATTCAAGTTCTCATCATCTTCAGCCTTTGTGTAATAACTTTGCCCCTCTACTTCCATCCACAGCATTTTAATCCATTCACCCATTCTTTCATGGATTTATGTAACTTATACTTTTACAATGAGCCTAATCTGATGCTTTTACTGACCCGCTGTGCTAAGCTCTAGATTGAGTTGAGTCTAGGAGAGAGACCGATTAACCAACAATGGCAATACAAATAAATTGATGTTGTTCTGGGGTGAGTCTAGGATACGGTGGGGAGGGGGATATACCTAATTTATCCTGCAAGGATGTAGTCCTCCTTCCTGACCCAATCAGGATCTTTCTAAAGTGCAAGCCCAACAACTGGCACTTTGTGGCTTAAAAACATTCCATGACTCAGTCTAAAGGATTAAGTCCAAATTTCTTGGCCCTGGCATTCAAGGCCTGTCATCATTTTCAACACAGCCTGAGGATTCCTGCCTTAACTTTCCGTGCTCCCTACTTTACCCCCATGTTCCAGAGACGCTAGATATATCACTCCTTAAATGCATCAGAGCCTTTTTGAAGGGGATGTTTGGGAAGGGAATTAGGGGCAGAGGTAGGATTACAGGGAGGAAGATGACCAGAGTCAGCTAGAGAGAAAAGGGGCCTAAGAGTGGAGAACCAGAAGATGGGAGGTGAGGAAGGGGAAAGAGAAGGGGAGGAGGAAATTGGGTGGAGGAGGAGAGTAAGGATGAAAAGTACAGAATGTGGGCCAGGCATGGTGGCTCATGCCAGTAATCCCAGAATTTGGGAGGCCAAGGCGGGTGGATCACTTGAGGTCAGGAGTTCGAGACCAGCCTGGCCAACATGGTGAAACCCAGTCTCTACTAAAAATACAAAAATTAGCTGGGCATGGTGGCAGGCGCCTGTAGTCCCAGCTACTGGGGAGGCTGAAGCAAGCAAATCACTTGAACCTGGGAGGCGGAGGTTGCAGTGAGCCCAGATCGCACCACTGCACTCCAGCCTGGGGGACAGAGCGAGACTCTGTCTCAAACAACAACAACAACAACAACAACAACAACAACAACAACAACTACTACTACTACTACTACTACTACTACTACTACTACTACTACTACAACAATGTGAAGGGACTGAGGGGTGGGAGAAAGACAGATGTCTTTGAGGGAAGAGGGCAAGGGCCGTTGGAGAAACCACCTACCCTCTGGGCTTTGGCTTGGTTGTTACAAGTCCTTAGGTCAAGACCTTGACTTAGGATGGCAGGGGGAGGTGTTGATCCTCAGGGAGGAAAGGCTCTTGGTTGTGGATGTGCCTCAGCTGCAGGTGCTGAGTGTTGAAATGCCTTGCCTGAAAGTCTGCTATCTGGGAAGGGGACTTGGATATCTGCAGAACTTCGCAAAGGAGCTCTGGCATGACCTGGGGAAGTGGGTAGGGACAAGGGGTCTAGGGCCAATGAGGGAGGGTCTTGACTGAAGCCTCCGGAACCCGGGCCAGGAGAGTAGGCGCCGGTCACCAGGGCAACCGGAACGCCTAGTAGTCTCCGTGGCAACGGCGGTCTGGTCACCTCCCCGGTGGGTAAGGTCTCCTGAGGGGCTTGCATTGGGCCTCGAGGGGGCGAGCCCAGAGGGTTTACTTCTGAAAAGTGGGGTGTGTGTTGCGGGATCTCTGTGAGCGAGTGTTTGGGTAGGATCTGCGGAGATCTGTGCGTACGTCCGGGGGAGTCTGGGATTGTGAGGATAGGGTTCCTTTGAGACATCTGTGGGGCGGTCGTTGGGGGCTGTGAGGATCTGAGGGGACCTCGGGCTCTGTGCTTGGGGTGAGAAAGGCAGGGTCTCGGGTAGCTGAGGCGGGGGCGGAGTCTGTGTGTCCTCGAAGCCCAGCAGGACTAAGTTGGGGACCAATAGAGTAGGGCGGGGGCGGGCTTTACTGACAGGGACCAATCGAGCCGGCCGGGGGGCGGGGCGTCACGCCGACGTCAAGTCGAGGCCGCCGCCGCGGGGCCTGGTTATCGCCGGTTCAGCGCAGCCCGGAGTCGCCCAGGCCTGAACTCCTACCCAGGTCCCCGGCCCCCGCCCCGGGCCCGCGAGGACACCGGAGGCCACCCCCCGGGGGTGGGGAGCGGAGCCGCGGGCCAGCTCTGCGAGCGCCCCGCGCTGGCCTGTCCGGCCCCGCCCCCGCCCCGGGCCATGGCCCAGCCCTTGTCCCGGCCCCTCGTCCTATCCCAATCCCCGCCTTGGCCCCCAGCCCCGCCCTCGCCCCGCTTCCCACATCGGCCCCAGCCCCTGCCTGGGTCCCCATCCAGGACCCCCTTCCAGTCTCTGCCCCTGGCCTGGCCCCCATCCCGGCCTCGGCCCTCGTTCCACCCCCTGTCACAAATCCCAGCCCAGGCCCTGTCCCAGCCCCATTCCCAGTGTTTGCTTAAGGCCCTGGCTCAACCCCGTCCCTTGCTGCAGTCCCCATCACAGCCCTTCCTTCCATCCCACTCCCTGCCCTTGTTCAAGCCCCAGTGTCCAGCCCAGCCCAACCCATTATCTCAGCCTTTGCCCTCATCTCTGTGTTTACCCAAGTCTCTCCCTCTAGTCCCCCCTATCTCTCATACTCTGCCCCTCTCCCAGCCTAGACTCAAGTCTGGGTTTCAGCTGCCGCCAGCCCTATTGCTGCTGTTGCTGTTCTCTGTCCTTGGCCCAGGGGCTGGTGAGTGCAGAAGCAGGGAAGATTGAGGCAGGAATGGGGTTCCGGCAGGGAGGGGTGGGCTGGAGAGATTCAGGAGAGGTGGGACCTGGGGAACTAGATCATTGGGGAGCAAGTGGGAGAAATAGAGAGTAGAGAGGTCTTACACAACAGGGATTGGCAGGGTCAAAAGAGTGGTAATTAATTGGGTTTGAGGCTCAGCAGGTGGCTTACAGTTTCTAGCACAGAGACTCCAAGATTTTTTCTGGTGTCTGTCCTGACCCCACTTTGACTCTTGCTTTTCCAGGGAAATGTTGTGGGCTTTGCTCCTGCTCACAAAGTTTGATGGGGGAGAGACAGTCCCACACCAGAAGCCCCTAGTGTAGTGTGGGAATATATAGCCCAAACCTTTGAGATATTGGGCATGCATTCAAACGGCATGAAGAAGAGTTTTAAAGATAATATGTAGCAAATAGATGAATATGGATTAGTTGCCATTATAATGAGTTTTCTTCTTGTAATGATTCTTGTTCCAAAGAAGATTGATTTGCCTAGGAATAATTCCTGATACTTTTAGAGCAGGGCTGAAACTCGGAGGCTATTTTACAGATGGGGAAACTGAGGCTCAGGGAGGGAGCAATTTGTCCAAAGTCAGAGAGCTTGTGAATGGCAGTGTGCTGGGGCTAGAAAAAAGGTTTCCTAATTCCTATTTCATACTAGTGTGTTTTTTTTTATCCACTGCAATGTATACTTAATAGAAAAATAGACCCAAGTGGGGAAAGGCTCAAAGCATAACCTCCCTTCTCCCCGGTCTGCCCACAAGGGTGCTTTATCCACAAACTGTTCCTTATTTGCCAGGCGTCAGCCAAGGGCCACCCTCCGGTGGGGAAGTGACTTGGACAGAAGAGAGAGAGGTCCAATTTTTTAATGGTTGGAATGTGGGAGGAGGAGGGGGTGTCCTGGTCTAGGGGATGTGCCATGAAGATGGCTCCATCATGGAGTGACTGTAGTCTTCATGGCCCAAGTCTGTAGCCACCTCTGGTGGGTGTCACTCTAGATAGGATGGAGATGTGCCTGATGGAGTCTTTGGAAATAACAGCCAACAGAACAGCTGGGGGGTGGAGAATGGGTATCAGTGAGCTCTGGGGGCCTGGTTCAGTGTACAAACTTAAGGAGACGAATGCACGTGAAAGGTCACAACCCCTGCAGAGATGTCTGGTCACTTATGTGTATGTGTGTAACTGAGGGATTGTGGGGAGGCTGGCAGCATGTGTACATGCTTGTGTGTTGTTAAGTGTAGACACGTGCATGTGTGTGGGGTGCATGTGAGCCAGTGTATCTTCTGAGCGCCTGTGTTATGGTATGAAGGGGAGGGGACATGTTGTGGCCCATGTACATTCCTCTTCAGCTCTGCCTCCTCCTCATATGGACAGATCACTGAAGCTGTGAATGGGGCTGGAGACCCTTTCTCAGCAGTTCCAAGGGTGAGGGCAGTGTTGCATGCCTCCCATAACGAATATAAGTTATCCATCCATCCCCAGCCAGTGCCTTTGAAGGAAGGAGCTGTGGAGGCACTCTGTGTTGATTACTGCTGCTGGCAAATTGGACACTGGGCAGAGGCAGTAGCCAGTCAGGTTTTCAGTTTTGGTAAGGGGAAGTTTATGCTGTTGGGCCAAGTTCCTAGCTTCCATCCTCTGCCATCATGGCTTCTTCATGTGCCCATTGAGCAAGCATTGGGCTGGTGAGGGGAGCAGGGTGACCGACAGCCACAGAGCATATACAGCTGAAAGTTGTGGATAAAAACACTGTTGCCCAGAAGCAGGTTCAGGTGCTTTGGGGAGAATTGTAATGAAGTTGGAAAAGAGTACCAATACACCCAAATGGAGGCAGGGCTGCCTTTAGTGCTGTTAATAATGAATGCCTTGGCAATTTTGGACCAAAGTACAGGGTGCTCTGTGACCTAATGGTGGTGATGGGTTTTGTCTGAGGAGAGGCTGGCAGTGTCATAGGACCATCATGGCACAGGGCTGCACAGTGCTTATTGGTTGCTTCGGTTTCATTTCAGGAATGGAAGTTATCTCTTGGGTCTAGTGGTCCCACTCCTGATCCTTGGATCTTTTCCTTGGGCTTAGTTGAGGACTCACACGTGCCTTGCTATTCAAAAAAAAATGGGCTTTTATTCTACCTAGTGCTATTACTAGCAGGGCCAGCCTCAGCCTATGTGTGTAGGTGTAGGGGTGTGTGTGTGTGTGTGTGTGTGTGTGTGTGTATGTGTATGTGTGTATGGGGTGGGTGATGGTCGGAATTACCCTAGCTTCATCATAGAAATATTGGGGAACCTGGAATAAGTTCATCTGAACTCGGTAAGGGCCTTACTCATGCTTCTTCTGGACACAGCTCTGGTAGGCCCTGTTCAAACCGCAAACCAAAGTTTGGAGTGAATGGGGCTGTGGACCCTTTCTCAAGCATCTGCCCTCAGAACTTCTTCCAAGTTCCTCCTAGCATTCCCAGCTGCTGCTCACTCCTTTATCTCACTGGCCTATTCTGTGACCTCTGTAGCCCCTGGCCACTGTGGGGATGGCTTAGCTAGTTCCCCAGTTCCCCAGGCCATACTGTGATCCTTTGAATTACAAGGATCTTTGTGCTTGTCTGTCCATGTTTCCCAAAGGTCATTAAACTGCTTTTCACCACTAGCCCTCATCTGAGGGTCTGCACCGAGGGACTGACCAACATTTCTCCTAACGGTAGCAATGGTTGATCAGATGACCCATCCCTGGTACCAGCTTTGAGGAGGATCAGCCCTTCCCTAACCCCAGCAGAAGGTGCGCTAGAGTTCTGATTTCTTCTAACAATAGTATCCAGGCTGTTCACCTCTTAGCCTTCTGCCTCCTACTTAGCACAGCTAGGGTTCCTAGGAAACCCGTCTCTTCCATCAGTCGGTCCCATTTCCCTTTATCCCTCTCGGCTGCATCTCTATCACTCTCTGAATGCTGCACTGGTAGCCTCTCTGGGTTCCTAGGCAGTGCTCAGCTTGCAAGGTGACAGGTTTTCCTTCCTGACAGTTGAGACTGATCATGTGGTCTGAACTGGACAGACTAGTCCTTGAGTGTAACCGTGGCCTCCAATGGCCCCCACCTATGTAGGGCAGCTCTCTGGGGTGACTCCTGGGGTTGCTCTGGTTCAGTGTTCGTCCTTCAGCAGCCTCCCCTTCCCTTTCTTTGTTATTTCAAAAACACCTCATTTTTGGAGTTAATCTCTCCCATCTCCAGAGAGGGAGATGATTGGACTAGGTTAGCCCTGAGGGTATTTCCTGCTTGGCTGAAAATGCCCCTCCAGAGTAGTCCTTATTCCAGCCCCGGGTCTGTCCTGAAGCTGCTGAGTTCCCCACCTTCTCACCTGTCCTGGAGGTGTCATCTTGGGCTTCTTTTCTGGCTGGTCCGAAGTCTCCAGAGCAGTCAGATTCCCTAGAGGTTTACTTTGAGAGACCTTGCCTGCCATTTGGGACCCTCTTCCCCTGTCTGCTACTGGTTGCCTCCACTGTGACAGCTATTCTAGTCCCTTGCCTGGCTAGCTGCTGACACAACTTCTGCTCACCTTGGCTCTGCTCCTGACAATCATGATCAGGTATCTTGGCATTTTAATGAGGGATGACCACTTCCTCCCCACCTCCCAACTCGGCCTGCTCTGAATATTCCCAAGGGGCTTGAAATCCACTGGGTCACTAACTCACTGCCTCACTGGGCTTCCCTTTGGGGGAACATTCCCCCGGCCCCCACCTACTAGCTGTGCATTCTGACCTGGGAGGCCTGATGACTCTCCTTTCCTGGGGACTCTCATGGTGGCCTGCCAGCTCCTGTCCTTGCTTTTGCCACCCAAGCAGGCCCCTGGCAGCCGTACCACACTTTCCCCTCCCCTCTCCTGCCCTGAGCCAGTATACAGGCAGCGCTTGTGAGGCTGCTGAGGGTTTTTACTGCTCCTAACCACAGGGGAACAGAAAGGGGAAGAAAATCAACAAGGAAGTTACACAGTTCCATGCTGACTCCCAAGCCCCACAGGTGGAGTTTCAGCCTGCTCAGTGGCTTAAGACGCCATGCCAAAATACACACACACACACACACACACACACACACACACACACACCTTCCACACATCTGTTTTTTTTAGGTTTGGTAAGTGGAGAAAATGGCTCCTAAGTGAGGAGGCAGCTGTGAAGTCAAAGGGTCTTAGTTTTGGATTTAGAGAGAGCTAGGTTTGCATCCTCAGTTTGGTCTAGGTTTGAGCCTCAGTTTCCTTATCTGTAAAAGGAGGGTTTTTTTGTTTTTGTTTTTGTTTTTTTTTAAATAAGATTAACGTAAGGATTAAACCAGATGATGGCTAGGTTTCAGATCTGCAGCCTGAAACCCAGTTCCTGGCTCAGAGGAGAGCATTTGTGGAGTTGATGCTATTGGTGAGGAAGACTGGCATGCCTGTTGCTTAATGGAAATGCCCTCTGTCCTGCCCTGCTCCTTTCTCTCTCTCCTGCTTCCCAGGAGGCCTTTTCCTGACTGATTACTC
Source organism: Homo sapiens (assembly GCF_000001405.40). Taxonomy (NCBI): domain Eukaryota; kingdom Metazoa; phylum Chordata; class Mammalia; order Primates; family Hominidae; genus Homo; species Homo sapiens. The sequence continues at coordinate 35,834,486 of NC_000009.12, forward strand.
CACCTGCTCACCCCGCAAGCTGAGTCCTTTCCGCTCCTTTGCCAGCACCGAGCTCTTCCACTTCCATGTTCCTGAGGACACATTCCTGGCTGTTTGGAACCTCATCATCTTCAAGGAGCAAGGGGGAACTTTTGGGGACCACTGCCCAGACCAAAGTGTGACTGTGTGAGTGTCTGAGTTAATTTCCCAACCCCACTTCCAATCCCTGACCACTTTCCAGACTAAAGTGTGACTTTAACTGACCTCCCGACCCTGACCCCAACCCGCGTCCAGATTGAAGTGTGACTGAGTGAGGGCCATGACCTCTGTCACATGACCACTTCCGGACTACTGTATGACTGTGCAAGTGCTTGAGCTGATCTCTCACCTGTGGCCCCTGACCTGGAACCACTTTGTTGAATGTGTCAGTATAGGGAATCTATTTGTTTTATCGGTGAAGAGTGACAGTTCTTTTCTTTCTTTCTTTCATTTCCTGCCTCCCACCCCATTGTCTGCTTTCCTCCTCTCCTAATTCTGGTCCCCCAGGTATTTCCGGTCCGGGGCACCCCCTGTCATCAATCCCCTGCATACACACTTCCCAGGGGACACAGCTGTGCCTGGGGTTTTCTCACTGACCCTCAGCTGGACACTGCCCAACCGCACCTCAGGCATCTTTAACGTCAGCAGCCCCTTACCTGGGGACTGGTTCTTGGCTGCCCACCTTCCCCAGGCCCACGGCCACATCTCTGTCAAGGTGGGTTGATGTTGCCCAGGCTCGGGGGTCCAGAACTGCCCTTCCATCTCTGCTGAATTCCCCCCACAGGCTCTCTGGCACACCAGCCTTGTGTCAGGGTGGGCAGCAGCACAAGGGTGGCTGGGGCGGGGCATGGCTAAAGGCCAGCAGGTCACCCAGTGGGTCAGAGGCCATGATCTGGAGGAGGCAACTTGGCAGCCCCAGGAGGACATGCTGGGTCCAGGTAAGCTGAAGGGAAAGTTGAGAATCTGGAGTCAGAGGCTCTGGCACAGGGGAGTAGTGCCGCCTCCTAGTGGAAGGCACAAATGTTAATCAAGGTGAACAGAAGCCAGCTATGGGCTGGTCCAATCTGCTGCACACACCCAGGACTGGTTTTATTTTACATCTTGATTGACAATAGCCCTGAAGACTCTCTTAGGCCACGGCCCAGTATTTAGTCCATCTGGGAGAATGTATTCCTCTTGCATCATAATTTCAGACAGCTTCCTACACCTTTCAGAAGACCACAAGAGAAGCTCTTTCCTGCTAAAAGGAGGCTTTGGGCAGCTAGTGTCCATCCTGGCCTTTGCCTCACTTTTCTCCAAATATCAGCCACCCCAAGCACTTATTTCACAGAGGTTGTTAAAGACTGAAGGGCAGGTTCAAAGGTCAGATGTCTCTCTGGTTTGGAGTGGAAGGAAATGCTGCAATGTTTTCCTGCCACTCTCATGGATTAGGCCAGACAGGTCTCCTATTCCTGTTCACTGGAGGAGAAGCAGGGGGTGTGCTGAGCTGGCTGTTGTCAGAGTGGGATGGCCACGTGCATGGGGCCTGTGGTGAGGGTGAAGAAACGAGCAAGAACAGAGTGAGGATTTAAAGAAGAGGACTCTTAGCACTCAGAAATGGGGTGAATAGTGCCTTTGAATGAGCTGAGACTCACATAAGGACAAGGGTGCTGGCACTGCTATTGTCAGAGATGGGAAGTAGGGCTGAGGTAGTGTCTCTAGGCCTCAGTGACAGGGCCGTTTTTCCTGAGAGTGATGTGGATGTGCAAGAGAACTCCCTATCAAGGCCTGTGAGCCTGCTGAAGGACAGCATGTTGGGAGCTAGCTTGGAAAGGGCCCTAGGTTCTAGGTAGGCCTTGACTCTCATCAGAACTGAGGGTTCTTCTGTTAGAAGGAATGCCTTCGTAGGTCTTTGGCAAAATCCCAACAGGGATGTTCTTTATCCCAACTCTGATCCTTGACCCACTTTGTAAGAACTGACAGGGAAAATCCTCCTGAAGCCTGGCTCTAGTTATCCAAAAACCTTTCTAGGTGAGCAGGAACCTAGGGCCTAGGCCTGGGCTGGGATTGTGGGAGCTGAGGCCCAGTTAGAAGTGGTCAGGATTGCTTATGGCTACCAGATTGGGACAATGGGGAATAGAGATAGTAGTGCAGAGAAAAGCTGCTCAGACCCTAAAGGGTGATTCAAGTGCCCAGACCAAGGGGGAGCTGGGCAGTGAGGAAATAACTAGGTCTGACATGTGCATTTGCATCTAGACATGGGAAGCGGGGCCTGGGGAACTTGGTACCAAACTGGAACCCTGGTCAGAGCTTCCCCAGGTGTGTGGTGAGGCTAGACAGAAGAGGACCATCCCACCGTGCCCACGAGTGGCAGTGGGTCTGGACGCCGTGAGAGATGTAGTGCTTCCATCAGCCCTGTTTGAGAGGTTGATGGGGCAAGGATCTTGGGTCTGGTCCTTCTAAGAATTAGATTAACTTCTGTAGTCTTATATGGTCCTCAAAGGGTTCTTCAGCTCTCCAGATCCTGGTTAATTTCCAGGATTCCAGCCTGTGGGTTAATTGTCTAGAGCATTCCTCCATCTTCTCAACTTGTTTCCTTCCCCTACTATGGCATGCTTCCTGTAAGGCTTGAACACAGGAATTTATGTGGGTTTAGGGTTATCCTTTGGTGGGAACTGAAGAGTCCCAGCGATAAGAAGGCAGTGTGTTTCTAGGGTCCTTCTCAGCTTTGGGGATGAGCTCAGATCTCCCTTTAGCCTTAGTCCTTTAGTACCTGCTTTGTGCCAGGCCTTGGGTTGTGTGCTGGGGACACAGAGAAAAATAAGATGCATGTCGGATATAGGAAATGTTTTAGGAGGATAAAGGGGAGATGGCTAACTCAGCTTGCTAGCGTGGTGGAGGTGGTATTGGAAACTGTTAAGCGGTGAGGTCTGAGGTTGAGAAGGCAGGGAAGGGCATTCCAGGTGGTGGGAGTAGCATGGCCCAAAGTTTAGAAGGAACTGAAGTGGCTCAGTGTGGGCTGGTGTTGGGGTGGTGAGGAAGGTAGAGGGTTGAGCAGAGGCCAGATCACGAAGGGCCTTGACATTTGAACTGTATCCTGAGCGTGATAGGGAGCCCTGAAAGGTTGTAAAAAAGAAGTGACTTACCTGGTCCGGGCCACCCTCGTGAACTCTAGTCCCACACTTCTGCCAGACCCTGTGTCTGTGTTATTTACTACGTATTCCTAGCCTCCAGTGCAGAGTCTGGCACATGATGCCTTTTCACGTCCTTTCCTTGTCCCTTTCTTCCTATCAGCCACTCTGTCTTGTCCCCGGCCTCCATCTCCTTGCCTTTCCTGTTTTGGATCGTGTGTTCATTCTAAGGTGCCCAGTTGCCAGTCTGCTCTGGGGGGCTGGCCTTTGGGTTGTGGATACCATTTGGCACCCAAATGGCTCATGAGGGGAAAGTACTCCCAAATGTCTAGAGTGCAGGTTCTCATCCTTCCTCTTCCTGTGTCTAAGATTTGAAAAAGTAGGTAAAATAATGAAAGCAACTACGAGGAAAGTGAAGAAGTCGACTGTACAGGAGAAAGGATTCTGTTGAATCCACCGACTAGGACCACACGTGACTCAATATCTCAGCTGAGGTGGTTAGAATCTGCTAATAGTGCAGCTGCTTTTCCTCCTCCTACATTAGTTTATTTATTTTTTGAATAGGCAATCCATGCACCTGGTACAACATTCAAAAGGTACAAAAGATATACAGTGGAAAGTAAGTTTTCCTCTTCCATTCTTCCAGTCTCCAATTCCCCGCCCCAGAGTTAACTAGTAACTAGCTGTTAACTAGTCCCCTATATTACTCTTTTCTTTTTGAAACACCTTCCCTTCTTGGCCTCTGTGACTTTACAGAACTGTCCTGGTTTTCCCACTGCCCACTCCTCTGTCTCCTTTCCTGGCCTCTCCTCTGCTTGATCTCCAGGTTGTAGTGGCCCAATGCTTGGTCCTCGAACAATTCCTTTTTCACTTTTCTATTCTCTTGCTTGGTGTTCCAGCACAATAATTTAAAATACCATCTATATGTTAATGCTTCCACGAGTATTCAGCCAGTCCTAATTTCTTTGAATCTCAGACTATATCCCACTGCTTACTTGACATCTCCAACTGGATGTCTAAGAAATGTCTCATACAGTATTTAGTAAAATCAAATCAAAGTGAAGCTAAAAGTATAAAACTCTTTAATTTCCATTTCACTGCTCCCAGTCCATGCTTCTTTCTCTAGTCATTGTGATCTTCCTCAGGAAATTGTACTGTCATCCACCCATTGCTCAAGCCCCAAATTAAATGCCCCAAATCCTTGATTTTTCTTGTCTCCTTATTCCTCACAAGCAATCGTAAAGAAAAAGTCTTGTTGACGCTACTTCTGAGGCATGCCCTGAAGGCTTCTCCAGCTCTTCATTTCCACTTCTAGCACAGCTTCTCTGCTTTCTCCAGGGCTACCACAGTAGCCTCATAAGTGGTCTTCCTGCTTTCACCCTTGCCCCCTGAAATCTGTCCAGCACTCGTTTGCTTCTACACTGATTGGTGCTTTCTGCCTCTGGGCATGGGCTCAGCTGTGCACTTGCTATTCCCGCAGAGAAGGCTAAGTGTCTTTGGGCATCTTCAGTCTGCAAGCCCCACCCAGAGCCTGGCACTGGCCAGCCCACTCAGGCCTTTCTGAAGAAACCCAGCCCATACATACGAGGACATTGTAGGAATCTATCTACCATGCCTTAGACTCCAGGATCTTTCAGCCTGTAGCCCATCCACATCTCACTTTTGCCTCTCCTAGTTTCTTGAGCTTCCTTGCCTGTGCCCTGGGCCTCCCCGACTGCTGATGTTCTTCTGGCCTCTTGGCTCAGCTGGGACTCTCTCACCTGGTGTCTGCCCTGGCAGCTCTTGAGGACCTGACTTCCGGTGCTCTTTCTCTGGTCCCATCACTGGGTGACGGTTCCCTGCATCTTCCCTGGTCTCCACTGACTAAACACTCCCTCTGCATGAAGAGGGGGGACTGGCTGTGCACGTTACACAGTTGAAGGAAGGAGCACGTCTTAACCAAACAGGTCATGTCCACTGATCTTTCATTGAATCAAACGCAAGTAAAACTCCAAAACGTGGAGCAAAGTGTTCCTTCCCTGGACTGTCTAGCAAGGAAATGGGCCACCACTGGAGCATGAGCCCCCACCCTTGGGACTCATTCACTACAAGATTATTGTGGTGGTGATTCTTGCCATAGGAGGTGGGGTCAGTGCAGTGACTTATGAGAGTCTTTTGGTTCTTCGGGTTTGACACCAAACCTGAGCATCTAGGTTGGTTCAGGAGCTCTCTGAAGGGACCCCCTTTTTGACACCCATTCTTTAACAGCTATTTTAGCACCTAGTGTGTGCCAGGTGGTGTGCTAGACACTGGGGATGCAAAAGGCACAGACCTTCCAGCCTTTTGGAGCTTTGCTGGAAGTCAGTGCCTTGGCTGGCTTGTTCTGAGCCATGGAACTCAGTGGGATGTCAGGGCCTGGAACTTTTGTCCCAGAACAGAGTTTGAAGGTATGTCCTAATTAGGAGCCCCCACCTCCCCTTAACTGTGAGGTCTGTAGGGCTCATATAGCTGCACGTGCTGCAGAAGAGGAACTGCGACAAATGGGACTGAGCTTACTGGAGAGTGATGAGGCTCTGCGAGCCATGGGGTGTCAACAGAGAAGGAGCTGGGGATTTTCTCCAGAAGAGAAGCTGGGGGAGACGTGGTTGATCTCCTTTAGCAGCAGAAGAAACACAGTCTGAGGCTGAGGGACCAGACGGATCAGTGGGTCCCTTGAAGGCAGAGTTGGGGCAGGGGCATCAAAGATGACAGGATTTGGCTTTAGCAAGGTCAGCGCTTCCCCCAGGTGGGATGATCCATTTACTGATTGATTAATTCAGCAAACATTCATCTGTGAGGTATGCACTCTATGTGAGGCCCTGTGTCTGGAGGAACAAACATCAAATAGGACAGGGTTCCTGTTCTCAAGCTGCTTATAGTCTGGAGGTTGCCTGGGAAGTAATGAGTGGCCCTGCACTCATTACCTGTGTAGGGCCGCTCATTACCTGGGTGTAATGAGTGTGAAAGCAGAGGCTGGACAAGCACGTGGGAGCGGGGCAGGGTGAGGACTAAAGGAAATTAAAGGTTGAGATTGGTGGCGGGGAGAGTGAGGGGGCTGGATTGGAGGCCTTGAAAGAGCTTTCCACTCCACCCCACTTTGCCTAAAAGAGCCAGTGTTCTAAGTTCCTGAGCCTGCTCAGGGAATGGGCTGGTTGGAGATCACAGTGCTGCTGGGCTGGCCCAGAATGCTCAGGGGGAGGGGTTAGATTGGGAGAAGGGGCAAGCCAGGCCTGATTGTCAGGAGGGCCTGGGTTTGAATCCCAAAACCTCAGCCAGTGCTGAGGATCCCAGCAGACCTTGCAGACTGAGGTGGGACAGAGATGACCAGAAATGACTGCTCAGGCAGGAAGGACCTGGAATTTAGAGAGACCTGGGTTAGAGGCCTGGGAGTGGTGGCCGGGGCGGGGGTTTCTCCCCAGCCCGCCCAGCAGGTTCTGTTTGCCTTGGTTTAGTCACACCCCTGCTGTCTCTCCCTCTCCTGCCACCCCTGCTTTTGTCCCAGGGTCTCCAGGATGAGTGTCAGTACCTCCTTCAGCCGCAGCTGATTGTCCGGCGTTTGCTGGACGTCGCTGTGCTGGTTCCTGGCCGGCCCTCAGAGCAAACCCTCTCCCCACACAATCGCTCAGCCCTGTACAAGTAAGTCAAAGACTCCCCACACCTGGTCCTTTCCCTCTTCTGTGGCCTCATACAGGCTGCAGGGTTCTCTCTTGGCTTCTCCACCTACCTGCCTGGTCCCTGGGTGGGATCCCTGCCTCCCTCCCTCCCAGCACAGAGCGGGAGACCTGAACAGGCCTCCTTCCCACCCTATGCCCCCTCCTTCCTAGTGCTTCCCTTGCCCTGTGTTCCTCTCGCCTCTGTTTGTGCCTTCTTACCCCCAACCTCTCCTCTGCCCAGGGTCTTTGTGCCCAGCTTCACTTACAGGGTTTCAGCACAGCTGGTGTGTGTGGGGGGCCGTGGGGTATCTGCCTGCCCCCTGTCACTGCGTCTGCGTCCCAAAGCCCCACCCCTGCACAACTCAAGCTCTGTGGCCTGTGGAGGTGCCTCAGGATGCCAGCTGGAGCTGGCACTGCCCCCCTGGGGGCACTGGGTCTACGTGCGTGTGGAAACATCATCCCGGGGCCCTGGTAGGACCATCCGCTTCCAGCTGTGTGTGCGGTTGCAAGGTCAGAACCCCTGCATTTGCCCCAGTCTGTGTAGACATCTGTGGTTGGGAAGTGACTTGGGTGGCTGTGTTCAGTGGCCCTCTGCCATATCCCTACAACCTCCCCTCCCCATCCCAAGCTCCTTCATGCTCCCTGAAGCCATCACACTTGGAGCTCCAAGTTATTGGAAGGCCTTTAGATAATTTTTTTTTTGCATCTGACTTGAGACAACTAAAGGACCTCATTACTTTCTTTGATTTAATCTCTCAGTTTCCTGGGGTAGGCAGGGACATCCAGGACCTCTGGGACACTGTCCTTGCCAAAGCCCTTGCAAGTCAGTGAGACAGCCTCTCATACTTAGTATCTGTTTCAATAGTGTCTTCAATGCCTTTAGGGAGGGATAGATGACCTCAGTTCCCTCCAGTGTGGTATTGCATTAGCTGTCACCATTAGGAAACCCCTATAAACCTGGATGCCCCACACTCCCAAGGGACATCGCATTCTAGTTCTCATCCTTCCCCACTCTTTGCGAAATCCTGTCTAGCTCAGATGTGTTTATGAGTAAGTTCAGGACTGTAAAGGCTGCAGGCCCAAGCTCTGGTTTCCTCTGCCCCACAGAGTGCCCACAGCCCGGCCTGCTCCGAGCCCTGGTCCCTGGAGCTGCCATGAACATGCCCCAGTCCCTGGGCAACCAGCCACTGCCCCCAGAACCGCCATCCCTTGGAACCCCTGCGGAGGGGCCTGGGACCACGTCCCCACCCGAGCACTGCTGGCCAGTGCGCCCGACTCTGCGCAACGAGCTGGACACCTTCTCTGTCCACTTCTACATCTTCTTTGGCCCAAGTGTGGCCCTTCCCCCTGAGCGCCCAGCCGTGTTCGCCATGAGGCTGTTGCCAGTGCTGGACAGTGGAGGCGTCCTCAGCCTGGAGCTCCAGCTCAATGCGGTACTCTTTATGGAGAGTGGGGAGGTTGCTCTGCCAGGGAGCTTGAAGGGGAAGGTGTCAGGGGTGTTGGGGTGTTTACCTCCTCCAGGAAGCCTGTCCAGGTTGCTCCCACCCATCCTGACAATTAGGGACCATGGCTCAGCCCAATTCTGGTCAACAAACATGTCCTGAGTATTCACTCTGCTACAGATGGGCGGGTCAACCAGGTCAACTCAGTGTCTGGGGTTTCCCAGTTTTGTAGGCTCACTTCCTGCTCATTACTGGCCTTTCACTACGGTAGTTGTTAACCTTTTCTTGCAAATCTCCTTTGATGGGGAGTTTACCACCTCTTGAGGCCACACAGTTCATGTTTGGATAGCGCTGATTGCCAAAGGCATTCCTGACATCCCATCAAAATCTGTCTCCATGAATTTTTTACCCACTCATCTTTGATTCAGTGGGTAAAAGCCATATCCAGAAGCCATTTCCAGTAAATCTATCTCTGTCCTGTTCTTTTTTAAAGCAACAGACTTAATTTTTTTTAGAGCAGTTTTAGGTTGAGCAGAAAGCACAAAGTTCTCATATACCCACTCTCTCACGTTTTCCCCTATTATTAATATCTTACATTAGTATGATATATTTATTACATCCCAGTCCTATTTTTACAGCCCTTCAGATGTTACCTGCAACCACCCAAAAGCTGAAGAACCTCAGTGTCTTAGGGGTCTTGGTATTTGGATCTCTCCCCTTCCTTCACTATCTCACCTGGTCATACTTCTAGTGGTCACTGTGTCTCTGAAATAAGTGATCTGAGGTGGTCGGACCGGGGTACCAGGTAACAAGACTTGCATTTGTGCTGCCTGAGATTGAGTTGCCTTTTTCAGCAGCTGCATTACACTGTGGGATCACCTAGGGCTTGTGGTGAACTGAGATCCCTGGGTCTTTTCCCTTTACTTCCTTTGTATTTTCTTCAAACCAGTTGTATACATTTACTTTTTTATTATAAGAGTAATAGGATCACATAAAAACTTTGGAAAATAGGGGAAAATATCTCCCTAATGCAACTGTTTAACCCTTTTTTTTTGAGACGGAGTCTCACTCTGTTGCCCAGGCTGGAGTGTAGGGGTGTGATCTCGGCTCACTGCAACCTCCACTTCGCAGGTTCAAGTGATTCTTGTGCCTCAGCCTCCAGAGTAGCTGGGATTACAGGAGTGCACCACCACACCCAGCTAATTTTTTGTATTTTTAGTAGAGACTGGGTTTCACCATGTTGCCCAGGCTGGTCTCAAACTCCTGGACTCAACTGATCCGCCTGCCTCGGCCGCCCAACATGTTGGGTTTACAAGTGTGAGCCACTGTGCCTGGCCCACAGCTGTTTTTGGTTTATGTCCTCCCATGTCTTTTCCACATTAATTACTTTGTTTATCTAGTTGTAATCAAGGGGCATATACATTTTGGTGCCAATTCGCATCTTGCATTTTTGCAGTGAATTTTTGAACCTGAATGGAAGAATTTATGTCCCTCCTTGAGGTATTGCCTAATACTGGTTTGGAACTCGGGCCTTCTCCACTTTGTGTAATTCACACACTTGCAAAGCCAACTTTTTGTACTTCTTAGTCATTACTGTCAGCGTTAAGACTGAGATGAGGGCGGAGCCCTATGTTGGCCCATTAGAGAATATCTTCAGCTTAGCTGTTCCCTGAGCCAGGGATCCTTTTAACTCTACTATCCTCCAGCCCTGAGAGCAGGGACCGCTTTCCCATCAGCCAACCTGAGGCCTGGTCTGTGGCTTCATGTGGTCTTTTATGGGACACGGCTTAGAACTTTCTAGTCGTCCTGTTAGAGCCATTTATTCAACCTGAAGATATTTCTTATTTACATAATCAAATTCTCTCTTTGTTCTAGCTAAGACTGTATGTATTTTGTGTTTGCTTATTGCCATGCCTCTGGGCAATGACAGTGAGATCTTGATTCGACCTTGAAACCGTAGACCCTGAATTAGAGGACAGCCTTACGCATACTTGTTCTTTCTTCCTCAGTACCCTGAGAATAGAAGCCTAGCCCTCCTGCAGCCCCTCACCCTTTCCCTCTCTGCATTCCCATCCATTCACTTTAATGAGCATCTGTTTACATTCCATCCATCTGCATTCTATGACGCGTGCTAAGCACCTCAGCCTGTTCTGTTTATTCTGAAAGGTATTTCCTCCAAATATTTTGATTTTTTTTTCTCCCCTTGGATCAAGAACTGGACATTTGGATCAGAGAACTGCATATACTTTTTTCTTTGGCTCCCTCCTAGAAAGACTTTCACTGAGTAATACTTTGGCATATTGCCCCGGGCTTGCATTGAAGGAAGTTATATAAGGAAGTTGTATGAAACTCACTCTTGTGGCTGAGGACAGGATGCATGACAACACACAGTGCCGCTTTGATGAGAATTTATCTCAGAACTTCCCCTTTGGATGCTGTGATTCTCCAGAGACTCTGATTAGCTTTTATATTATGTAGTTGCAAATCTGGTAACTCATGATACTTCCTTTGCTTTGGTTGCTTGGAAGGCAGTATCAAATATATGGCCTACCTTAGGGACAGACTTTATTTTCCTGTCCTGATTTTTAAGTTTCCCTCAGGCATTTATTATATTCTATTTTATGTAAGCTGCCTCAAATCCTTCTTGAATGAGGTGAGCTTATGGCATCCTGTTGCCTTTATTCTTGTAGACAACACCTTACATTTACTCTTGCAGATATCTGGTTTCTTTTAATCCCAGCCAGGTTGCTACATTTAATCTCTTGGGCATTCTGTTACCACTGTTCAGTACCTAGGATCATTTCACCTGAGTTGGAGTGAGTGTCTTCATGCTCCACCTGTCTTGGGGTCCAGGTGAAGATGATGGGAAACCTTACAATTGCCTTTGTCCACAATTAGTTTCTATAACTGGCAACAGCCCTCCTTCTCCTTAATGAGCTAGATAGGACTGAAAAAGAGGGTGTTCTCTCTTGCTTGGACAGAATTGAAACACTTCTGCCCAAAGAACAGATTCAAAATTGGGCCTTGCCGTCTCATCAGTCCTTGAAAGATTTCTGCTGTGGAGGATCTGTTGTTTTTCAGTTTTTCTGTTCTGAGAATGGAGGTGAGAGAGCAGCTTTGGCGTGGAGAGCGCCGGGAGGAATGGGCTGTCCTTGGAAGGTGTGGGTTAACAGGGGTGGGAGTCTGAGGGTGGCGGTGGGTGGAGATGGAGGATGTGGCGGCCTCACTTCCATACCTGCCCTCCCCAGAGCTCCGTGCGCCAGGAAAACGTGACGGTGTTTGGATGCTTGACTCACGAGGTGCCCTTGAGCCTGGGGGATGCAGCAGTGACCTGTTCCAAAGGTGAGGTGAGGAATGGGGGAGGAGAGGAAGCTGCAGTGTGGGGGTGGTGGTGGCGGGCAGAGGTGAAGGTGGGGAGGGATGGAATGGAGGAATGATAGGCTAGGGTTCCGGGAAGTGGGAGCAGGTGGGTGAGGGTTCTTGGGTTCTGACCCCTCCTCCCTCTCACTGACTCCTTCCTTCTCCCTTCAGAGTCCCTGGCCGGCTTCCTCCTCTCTGTCAGTGCCACCACCAGGGTTGCCAGGCTGCGAATCCCATTCCCGCAGACGGGGACCTGGTTCCTGGCCCTCCGCTCCCTGTGCGGGGTGGGGCCTCGGTGAGCGGTGCGGGGCGGGGCCAGGGCTGGGACCGGGACTTGGCGGGGGTGGCCCGGGGCCCCAGGTGACTGCGAGTTTGTGCGCAGGTTCGTGCGGTGCCGCAACGCGACGGCCGAGGTGCGGATGCGCACCTTCCTGTCCCCATGCGTGGACGACTGCGGGCCCTACGGCCAGTGCAAGCTGCTGCGCACACACAATTATCTGTACGCAGCCTGCGAGTGCAAGGCCGGTGAGCAGGCTGGCGAGGGAGCGGGCTGCGGTGGACTGGAGGTGGACCTGCTGGGCCTGTGGGCAGGCGGCGGGAGTAGGGGAGTGCGCAGCCTGAATTGGGGACGGGTTTGGCAGAGCCGGGGTGAGACCACCCTCCACAAGCTGTGGCGTAGGCCCATAGCTGCCGTCTGTTCTCTTCCATTCTGTGCCTTCCCCACCCGCAGGGTGGAGAGGCTGGGGCTGCACCGACAGTGCAGATGCGCTCACCTATGGATTCCAGCTGCTGTCCACACTCCTGCTCTGCCTGAGCAACCTCATGTTTCTGCCACCTGTGGTCCTGGCCATTCGGAGTCGATATGTGCTGGAAGCTGCAGTCTACACCTTCACCATGTTCTTCTCCACGGTATGCGGTGGTGTCTGCATCTTATCACTGGGTGCTTGTGCATGGTGGTGGGTCACAGTCTGTATTTCCACCACGTTCTCCGAGGGTTTGGGAATGTCTGTGCCTTCACTGTGTCTTCTACAGACAGAGACAGCAGTGCTTCCCAAACTGTCATGCATAGATAATGGTCATTTTTGTAAGACACATTGGAGTAAATGAACAAAACTGTTTGCAACTTAATAAAGTAAGTTTGGGCCTCCAGCTGTTCCACACTCTGTCCACCCTGAGGGCTGAGGGGACCTTTACTCAAATCATGGGCCAAGAAACTGGCCTAAAGTATGGATTTGTGTCTGCACAGTCACCATGTTCTCTGTATGGGGGCAGGAAATCTATGCTTTCCCCCACACCTCTGCACACAGTGTCTTCATCTTCACCACATTCTTCCATGATATGAGAGCTAGCTAGCTACTCTGAGCTCCCCTTCTCCGTCGCACTGGGGACCTGCACATCGTTAGCACGTTCGTTCCTGTGGTCTGAAATGGCGTTCCCATTCAGTCACCATGCCACCTTGATTTCTCATGAGAACTTTGGAAAGATAGAGGGGATCTCTCTATTGGGGGATTATAGGACAATCTGACTCTCAGAGTCCTGAGAAGCTTTACAGACTCAACTATGTCCTGAGGCATTGTCGGAAGTGGCAGTGTCATATCACATCCCAGCTCAAAGGAGTGCATTTTGATGAAGATTAATATAGTTTAAAACCCCTCCATTCCCATTGCAGAATTGCCACAATCTCTTTCCTGTGTTTTCCTCACTCCTCCATAATCAGAAAAGTTCATTATAAGCAAGCGTCCAGAAACTATAAGGAAAGGTAGAGAAGTGAGCCTGCTAATGTTACTTAACCCCCAAGTAGACTTTTTACCCCTGAAGTGTCACATCTGGGAATCTTTTCAACTCATCTCTAGGCTCTTGGCACCATGTGACATGCATGTGAGCACTGCAAAAACTCTTAGATGGTTTCAGACTGCTCAGGCCTTGTCAGCAAGGATATCACAGAAAGCAAGACAGGCCTTCCTGGCATCCTGCATTACTAGGTCAGACATATGTCTAAATTAGAAAAATCATAGTTCTCATCTGGGAGAAAGCAGGGGCAAATGTGCTGAAACTGAGGGGCCTGGGTCCTCCTGGAGATTCATCCAGAGATGAGGAAGAAGAGTCTGCAACCATGCTGCAGAGAGAGATCTTGGCCCTTTAAGCTGGGTGAGAAGCATATACCCCAGTTTTGCTTGATTGGCCCCTTTTTAGGCCTGCCCCCACAGTGCCTCATTCTATTTTTATGTTAGACACTGTTTCTCTTTCGTATTGCCAGATGCCCTTTCTACTGTGGCTCACCAAATCCTCCAGCAACAGCTGTTCTACCAGCCCACTCTCGGCTACATGCAGATCGAATGTGATTCATAATTAGTAAGAATACCTAAGTGTGTCAGGAGCCTGAAGCATGTAGGGAGAGCATATTCACTCTCTGGACTTGACACAAGTATCCTGATTGGCTCCAGAGTGTTCAGTGCTAGATGACTCTTCCTTATCTGGATACAGTGGCTGTCAGCCTGAAAAGACCTTCCCTGTAGCAGGAGTACTAGGAGAGCCTCAAGTGCCTGGCACCACATAAAAAGCTCCCGGTTTCTTTCTTTGTTTTTTTTCTTTTTTTTTTTTTTTTTGAGACAGAGTCTTGCTGTGTTGCCCAGGCTGGAGTGCAGTGGCGCGATCTTAGCTCACTGCAACCTCCGCCTCCCAGGTTCAAGCGATTCTCCTGCCTCAGCCTCCTGAGTAGCTGGGACTACAGGCGCATGCCACCACACCTAGCTAATTTTTGTATTTTTAGTAGAGACAGGATTTCACCATGTTGGCCAAGTTGGTCTCGATCTCCTGACCTCGTGAACCACCCACCTTGGCCTCCCAAAGTGCTGGGATTACTGGTGTGAGCCACTGCGCCGGGCCAAAATCTCACATTTTCTTAAATAAGGCAATAAGGAAAAGCTACTGGCTTTGAGTTGTTGCCTAAAGTCCTGCTCTCACTCCTGTTCTTTTCCACATGGGCCAGAACATAAAACTATGTTTTCTGTTTTCCCTGCAGGTTCTCTGTGGTCCCTCCTTGCCATTCGTAGACTTATTTCATTCTGCAGCAGTGTCCATTTAAGGACCCATTGGTCAAATTGCAGTTGTCAGTACTAGGACAGGAGATAACAGTCCTCTTCCTTGTCTTCAAATAATCCAGGACAGTCTACACTTGGGAGTAGTAATCCATTCTTATCTGGAACATAGGAGCAGACAGTAGGTTTATAATTCAGGAGTTTACAGATGTAAAATATGTTTTGAAAAAACAAAAACAGGCCACAAACTTAGCATTTGATTTTTGTATATAGGCAAACAATTCAGATAATGATTACAACAAAATGACATACACTGAATATGTGCTGTTTCAGACACTGCTAATTTAATCCTCACAATAGTACTGTTATAGTTGATACATGCTTTTATTCTTGTCATCCTTTTTTTGTAGATAAGGGAAAGTTAAATATTTTGCCTGAGGTAGAAGGTGAGTATCTACCTTAGAATCTGGGTGAGCCTGACTCCAGATCCCTCACATGTAACAGATGATATTGCTCCCTTTGCACCAGGGCAGTGAGCATGCATTGATATGCTTTTAACCCAACTTCAGTTTCTCTTAAGTCCTGGAGTATGTAGAAAAAGGCATGGCCCCAGTTTAGTAGTTCTCACCAAATTCTTAAAAGATAAGAGCCGATCAAGAGATCTGAAAATACAACTAAGCCAAATATAAGAAACCATCAGGACAAAGATATCAAACATTTTAATTGTGCAACTTGAACCCGTACTGTTCAAACTGTGTATCCATCACAGTGCTCCTTGAATCCTTGTAATTAGATCTCAGAAGACCCAGACAGAGCTGGCATTCTGGGGCTGTGCAGGTGTCCTTGCTGATTGCTGGCATCCTGGCTACAAGCCCACCTTCTCATTACGCCTTATATCCCTCAGACCATCCCAGGTCATTCTCACTGTCTCTTGGCAAAATCCCATAACTGTTTCCAAGAGAAAATGAAAGCAGAAAACAGGAAATAAGGGAGTAACAGCAAGTTCCATTATATTCCAATCTGGGCATGGATTAACTACGTTTGCGTTTATAGTCCACATTCTGCAGTGCCTGGATAGCCCATTTTGGAGCATTAGATGCACTGTTACAAAAATGTAAAATTCCACAGAAAAAAAACCTTGCAGGATAATTTCCCTACATTGCTTCATAAATAATGGCCAAAGCTGAGAAAGTTATCAACTTAGATTAGAATTATATTAATAGAAGTCAGTTTGTAGTCTAATTTTTTTTTCTTAAATTCCCTGATTTTTCTATGTCACTTCTACTTCTTTTTATTGCTGTTGACAAAAGGAATGCCAATCTAAAAATTAGTCCACGGTTTTTAGTGGACTAATTCCCTCACACTACAATTTTAATTTAACTCTACCCCTGTGGATTTTTCACAACCTTAAACAATCTCTTTGACCTTTTAGTATACCTGGAAAATAATTAGTCGTAAAATATTAGTGAAATGATTTCTTCAAATCCTCTCCACTCTAGAGATAATATCTCCATTTTTCTTTATTCTTCTTTTAGTGCAAATTCCTAGGAGAAAGTCAGCCCTCAATTATTCCCCTAGATGTGTCTTCAATGTTTAGTGATTCAGCTTTGCCTTTTTTCTGCTGATATATATCTTCCTTTGTCTGAAATATAGTACAAATCTCTCTCCCAGAAACTTCTGGGTATTTCTTTCTATATACTTGAAAGTGAAGCATATGGAGCCAGTGCTTGGTTAAGGCTGGATGTAAAATTAGTTCTTTAAAATAAAATCCAAGTCATAAAACAGTATTGGGTAATTTAGTGGCCTATAGTACTTATGTCTGGTCTTGGAGGCAAAGAATAATCAATTTCCTATAGCTAAAATAGAAAAAGACCAATATATTGATTTGTTTAGGAACTAAATTAACTCCCAATGAATCAGCACATACAAATAGTTGAAAAATAAACCAGTCTCTTAGGTGTATTCAAACATTAATTACTTAACCATTTTTATTTATTTATTTATTTTTGAGGGTCTCGTTCTGTCACCCAGGGCAGAGTGCAGTGGCATGATCACAGCTCAGTGCAGTCTTGACCTGGGCTCAAGCAATCCTCCCACCTCAGCCCCTTCTGCCCCCCACCCCCGCCAATTCCCTGTTCCCCACCAAGTAGCTGGGACTATAGGCACACGCTACCGTGCCCAGCTAATTTTTGTGTGTTTTGTAGAGATGGGGGTTTCACCATGTCGCCCAGGCTGGTCTTTAACTCCTGGGCTCAAGTGATCTGCCCACCTCATCCTCCCAAAGTGCTGGGATTAACAGGCGTGAGCCACTGCACCCAACCTAAAAAAATTCATTCTAATGTTGATATGGACCTACATGAAAAGTCTGAAAATTTCCCATTGAGAACTCACTTTTTCAATTTAACAGTATATTAAGAGGGAACCATGTCCCCAAAATAACAAGCCCTTTCGAAAGCCTGGAACACCCACTTAAAACATGTTCATCCTTAGGCAGTCTCTTTTTGCAGGAGCAAAATTCTTTACCTCCAAAGTGAAGGAAAAGAAAGAAGATAGATACGCAAGCTTGAGTCTTGCAGCTTAAAATTTAAAGGAATCAAACCCAAAGTTTCCTGATGCCAATTTATATCCCAGGTTTTCGTCTTCATTTTGTTTTCTTTTTCTAAGATCCTAGCTTCTTCCTTTCCAAATTTGTCTGTTGAAGTTGTAATTTTTGCAGTTTAAATGATTGGATGACATCTTCAGTAGGGTCAAAGGAAACATTAGCGATTTCTTTTTCATCTTTTGTCTCTAGAGACTGACTTTGGAATATGTTTTCCAGATTTTTTGGTGGCATCTCTGCCACTAAAGAGTTATGCCTAGAAAACTTTTTTCACAAATAAGGGAACACAGGATGCTGGAAGCCATGGCATTGTCCAGAGAGACAATCTGGACATGGGTTGGAACTACAGACAAGGGAGCTAATGGCAGACTTTGCTTGGTTCCTTAATTAGGATGTCCAGTTGAGTCTGATCCGATTCCACTTCTGCTCCCTGCATCCCCTTTGAACCTCCTCAATAGTCCACTCTTCACTATGTTCTCCAGAGTGTAGGATGGGTGGACACTGTCCCCTCTCCATGTTCTTCCCCATGGTGTGAAGTGCCATGCCTCTCTCCATGGCCTTAGGGACTGCCTTTTTTCTTACCTGCCACACACTCCCCGCATTTGTTGGGAAGGGATGAAGAGGGTCAGTTGGTGGAAGCCCTGAGAGTGAAGCCCAGTTCAGAGTCTGAGCTAGCAGGGGAAACTGGGACATAGTGGGGAGATTTGGTTTCTGGGTAGCTTAGAGCTTGGGCCAGGGATGGGGATTATAGGTGGGATCCATGGTGAGCATGAGGAGACAGGGACAGGATTGGCCTCAGCTTGAGGGTATCAGAACCCCCTGGCAGGGCACTCTCCACAGCACCTTCCAGAAGCAGGAAGATTAGGAAGCTCAGGGTCAGGGTCAGGGCTGCCAGATACATATTAGTTATGTAGCAGACTGGACCTCCTTACCACATTCTTCTCAGGATTTGGGGAGTCAGGCATTTCCCAGATCTTCTCATCTGTGACCTTTCACCTCTGCTGCACTGACAGCAGCACACCACCCCTGGGCCCACCCCTCCGGTTTTGTAGATCTGGACCTCTGCCTCAAGTTCTCTCAATGCCTGTCATTTCTTCCTTCAGTTCTATCATGCCTGTGACCAGCCAGGCATCGTGGTTTTCTGCATCATGGACTACGATGTGCTGCAGTTCTGTGATTTCCTGGGCTCCTTAATGTCCGTGTGGGTCACTGTCATTGCCATGGCTCGTTTACAGCCCGTGGTCAAGCAGGTCAGTCCAGAGTGGGCCCTGGGGAACAACCATGGCCAAGTCTCCTTGAAATCCACTCCTGACCTCTCCCTGGGGGCATTTCCAAGTGCCTCTCATGATTCTGACCCAGGCCCTGGAGTGCTGTCTGTCACCTGGCCCTAGCCCAGCCCTTGAGTCTCTTTCTCTAGGTGCTGTATTTGCTGGGAGCTATGCTGCTGTCCATGGCTCTGCAGCTTGACCGACATGGACTCTGGAACCTGCTTGGACCCAGTCTCTTCGCCCTGGGGATCTTGGCCACAGCCTGGGTAAGGGTGGGGAGGGATGTGGGGGGAGGGTCCCAGCAGGACTTGGGTGCTGGGCCCCAGGTATCTGGTCCCCAGTTTAAGGTGGGCTTGGCTCTGTCGTCATCACCTGCTGCTGGCAGTGTCCGCTCCAGTCTTGGCAGGTGTCTTTAGGTCACAACCAGGATACAGAGGAAACCTGAGAGTGACCAGCTCTGGCTTGGGTTCCAGGGCTTGGCATTCCTGAGCCCCACTTCTCTGTCTCCCCCAGACAGTACGCAGCGTCCGCCGCCGGCACTGCTACCCACCCACGTGGCGCCGCTGGCTTTTCTACTTGTGCCCTGGCAGCCTTATTGCAGGCAGTGCCGTCCTGCTTTATGCTTTTGTGGAGACCCGGGACAACTACTTCTACATTCACAGCATTTGGCATATGCTCATTGCGGGCAGTGTGGGCTTCCTGCTGCCCCCTCGTGCCAAGACTGACCACGGGGTCCCATCTGGAGCCCGGGCCCGGGGCTGTGGTTACCAGCTATGCATCAACGAGCAGGAGGAGCTGGGCCTCGTGGGCCCAGGAGGGGCCACTGTCAGCAGCATCTGTGCCAGCTGAGAGGGGCTTTGGGCCTGGCCCTGAGGGGATATGAATGCTTCCTAGAGTTCTTTCTGGGGGTGTGGAGCCCTCTTAGAAGGAGACAGGCTGTATTTCTTGAGGACATGGAGTCTTTCTCAAGGACACAAAACTCTTCCAGGGACCTGGAGCCCTTCCCAGGACATGGAGAACTTCCTGAGGGCCTGGAGTCCCCCTGCATCATGGAGTCCTTCTTAAGGACTGGAGCCTATGCAGGCACAGAGTCCCTCAGGACCAAGGAGTCCCTCCTGCAGGTGTGGAGCCTTTCCTGGGATGCAGAGCCTTCCCAAGACATGGATTCCTTCCCAGGGAGACAAAGCCCTGTCAGGAGCACAGCATCTTTCCAGAGGAGGTGGAGTCTATCTTGGGGAAACCAAATTTCCAGATTTTCCCAGAGGCTCAGCAACTCTGGCCTCAGGCTTCCTTCCCAGAGGCAGCGTCTGGGCTGTGCTGTGCTGTGGAGGAGGGATTGCAGGATGGATGGAGCTGGGACTGGGGCTGTCTGGGTGGCTGGTATCCTCGTTTGATACAGGTGGAGTCTGTGTGTCTCCAGTGATTGATTGGTTCAGAATGGTTCTGTGATGCCTTTTTTCCCCCTGGGGTCAGGGGTGTGGGGAAGTGGGGAAAGAGGGCCCCTCAGGGAATCAGCAGGGCTGATGGGAGCTACTGCCGGAGGCTTTTGTCACACCCTGTACACAGTCTGATCCCGCTCATCTGGGCCCTGCATTCATTTCTAAACAGTTTCTAATGCCTATTCCCCAATTCCTATTGAGCCCGATTTGCAGTATCTGAGGGGTGTGTGTGTGTGTGTGTGTGTTTATGTATGTATACGTATGCTGAGATGATTTAAATCAGTGAGACAGACTTTCCTTATGATGCCCACACCCAACACAGAAGGAAGCCGAGGTCCCAGGAAATTGGAATAGCAGGTACACGTCTCAGGTGTGCAAGAAATATCACAAGAATGTAACTTCTGTTTTGAGCCCCCATTTTTCCTGAGTGCCAGAAAAGATCATTTGTCCATTTGGGATTCCTTCTCTTTCCATGAGGGTCATAGCTGAGTTCTGAGGGTCTTACATAATGCCAAGAAGTTGGGAGAGCATTCTCACTGATCACCAGTGTCCATACTTCATCCATCCCCGGGATTTCCATCATTCCATCTGGTCCCCAGTCAGAGGTCCAGACAGTTCATCTGGGATGCAGAGAGATTTCTTGTTCCCATTTGCATTACTCTCTCAGTCCTAAGGTTCTCTCTGCCACTTCTGGGCCATATGTGGAGACCCGTAAAGTTGTCTAAGGCCTTGGCTATGCAGACACACCTTGAAGCTGTTTCTGCTCTGGGTTTTGACAGACAAGGCATGAGTTGCTGCATCTGTTAAAACTGCAAATCTATCTTGGCCTGGGGTGTGGAGCTCAGGGACTCTTCCTTTTGGGACCCTCTGTGTCAGTATTCTCACTACATCCTCTCCTCCTCTCTCTTCTTTCCCCCTTTCGTTAATATTGGAGGTGAGGAAGCCTTACTTAATGTTTTCTCCTGAATCTTTTTTTTTTTGAGACGGAGTTTTGCTCTTGTTGCCCAGGCTGGAATGCAATGGTGCGATCTCAGCTCACTGCAACCTCTGCCTCCCGGGTTCAAGTGATTCTCCTGTCTCAGCCTCCCGAGTAGCTGGGATTAGAGGTGTGCACCACCAAGCCCAGCTAATTTTTGTATTTTTAGTAGAGATGGGGTTTCTCCATGTTGGTCAGGCTGCTCTCAAACTCCCGGCCTCAGGTGATCCACCCGCCTCGGCCTCCCAAAGTGCTGGGATTACAGTTGTGAGCCACCGCGCCTGGCCTCTCCTGAATCTTTTATCTATGCCTTAAGCCTTTTCTGTTCCCTTCAGGACCTAGGCTTTTGAAACCCAAAAGCCAGGAAAACATGCCTTTGTTATCTGCTTTCTGCAATCACGTCTCTTCCATGGGGCACTGAGCAGAGAATGGTGTGGCCAAGTGAGTAGTGAGAAGCAGTGAGGAGGTGTGAGCTAGGTGTCTGTTCCCATTTTAGAAAATACTGTTCCTACATCAGAAATACCACATTAAGACGTATAGAGCCAGGTCACTGGGATGCTTGAACCCAAATAGCTGGGATTCTGGACAGAGTCAGCAGAGTACAGAAGGCTCTGAAGTGGGAGACGGAGCTGGGGTGCATCCCTCCCAGTGAGGAGGGGTCATGAGGGGCGTCTGGGAAGAGGGACATTTGAACTAGGATTAGCTGAGTTGCCATGATGCTAAGATAATGGGAGAGTGTTCTTTGTGGTCACCAGTGTCCACATGGCATCCCTTCCCTGAGATTTTCATCACTCCCTGTGGTCTTCAGTCAGTAAAGCTCTTAGAACACTTGTATAGTGCCTAGTCTGGTATGTGATGTGGTCCAATATATGTTAGCTTAAGGTCACCACGTGTTTGGACATGGAGAGGGAACAGCAAGGGGGAATGCAGAGGCAGGAAAGACTGATATTTACTCCGGGCACTGAATAGTTCAGTGTGCCTGGGCCAGTGCATGTGCGCATGCTTTTGTGTGTGGAGTGGGGTGGTGGAGGTAAGCAGCCAATGATATGATTAGATAGATAAGTGGAGGTTGGGTCTTTATTCTATGGGAAATGAGGAGCCATTGGAGAGATTAAGCAGGAGAGGAACATCAGATTGGGGTTTTGATGGCTGGGGCAGAGGATGGACTTTGGGAGACCTTGGAGGACAAAGTGCAGTGACCACAGCTATTGGAACATTTGAAAGAGAAATGGTGAAGCCTTCTTAAAGCAATATCGGTGGAAAGGAGGGGACCAATTTAAGAGCTGTTAGGAGTGAACTCTTTAGGACTTGGTGACTGATTGGGTGTGTGGGGTGGTGAGGTATGAGAGAGCCTAGGATGATGGTGATATTCTGATTTGGGGATGGTGGTGCCATTCCCTGAGATGGTGACACCACTTTGGGTGGGGGGAAGATGAGCTCCACTTTGGACAGTTTGAGGTGCATGTGGGATTCCCGGAGGGAAGGGGGCCAGCAATATGACAGTGCTGGACGTAGCCGCTGAACCAGGCCTGTCTCCAGGCTCCCAAAATGGGAATCCTTGGTTGTCTCCTGACTTGTCTCAGTGGGGGAGATCCCAAGATTCAAACAGCCCTTCCTTGCCTTGAATACAGGGCTGTGGCTGGCAGATATTGCTGTACCCTTGCATGTATCTGTACATACGACTGGACTGAGACCCCTGAGCACTTGCAGCTGCCTGGGGCATGTTCAGCAGCACAGGGCTCAATCCCCACAGGGTGATGTTCTGAAAGCTTCTGAGTGACAATTCAGTCCCGCAAACCTTCCATAGGGAACATGCTGTGGGAGCTACAGAGATGAGCCAGACCCGACTGAATCCTGCCCTGAAGGAGCTCACACGGTGGTGAAGTGTCATGAATGCAAGTTAGATGGGACAAGTGTGAAGTGGAAGATCCTGACAAAGTGCTGTAGGATGTAAAGAGAGCGATCTCAAAGTGCAATGGGAAAGGATGCATGAGAGAGATGGTGTCTAACCTAGCTTTGAAAACTAGTCCCAGCTATTATCAGAGAACAGCACAATACATACAAGGGTGCGAAGACATGGGGGTGCGGCAGTACAGATAATGTAGCGAGGGGACAGCCATGTGAAGGGCATAGTGGAAAATCAGGCTGAAGAAGCAGGTGGGGGCAGATTCTGGAGGGCCTTGAGGATTCAACTGAAGAATTTGGACTTAATGGTAATGGGAGCTGTCAAAAGTCCTTGATCAGAAGAGTGATGAATCAATCCAGGTTTGACCAAAGTAACAGAACCACTATGAGTGATAAAAAGATTAGACCTTTACAGTCATGGGAGCAGTTGGAGAAATCTGTGCAAAACTGTTACTTCTGCATTTGGTGTTGGGCCTGAAGCTGTTACAGCTCAGCTGGGCCAGCAGTTAGGAAAGAAGGCTGAGTGTGAAGTGAGGGGCAGTAAGGGCACACTAGAATCCAGAAGGACAAACTGGAACCTGTGCCTGGCTCTTATGCCTTCAATCTCAGTGACTGGTGACCTGCAGGAGAAGCTGTCACCTTTGCCATGGAGCTTGCACTTGGCCCAGCACTCAGCACAGTGGAAGGAGGTGACCTGGTGGGGACTGGACAGGCTGTGCTAATGGGGAGCCAGCAGATGAGCAACATGGGGGTGCCCTCACTGTGTCTGGTGCTGTTCCATTTTTTTTCTTTCTTTCTTTTTTTTTTTTTTGAGACGGAGTCTCACTCTGTTGCCCAGGCTGGAGTGCAGTGGCGCCATCTCAGCTCACTGCAGCCTCCACCTCCCAAGTTCAAGCGATCCTCCCTAGTAGCTGGGATTACAGGTGCACCACCACACCTGGCTAATTTTTTGTGTTTTTAGTAGAGGCAGGGTTTCATCACATTTCCCGGGCTGGTCTCGAACTCCTGGCCTCAGGTGATCCTCCCACCTCGGTCTCCCAAAGTGCTGGGATTACAGGTATGAGCCACCACACCTGGCCCACTTTTGCCTTCCAAATCACATGCAAACTTCTCTGTGGCCAACCCTAACCCACACCCTCTAACCTAGTTTGGTTGACTCAGTATAAAGCTACCACACGTGAGCTAACCAGAGCTTTCTTGGGACGATTAACTTGGCAGCAGCCCGTGAAGGATAGATGGTCAGGATAAAGAAAGCCAAACCTCCCATAGCTCTTGGGTTGACACTGTCAGCTGGTGTGGTAGTCATTAGGCCATTCACAAATCTCTCTGTCCCTCTCGTTTGCCATCCAGACACACGATAGTGTGCTTTTCCCCCTTAACAATAGGTGTGGTCCTGTGCCTTCCTGTTGCCATTGTGTTGGCCACTGAAATGTAGGTGGAGGCAACACAGCCACTTCTGAGTAGAAGCTTTAAGAGTCAGTGTAGGCTTTGTTACTTTCCCTTTTCTTTTTGTCATGGTGACCAGCAGTGTTCCCAATGGTAGCTGTTTTGTCATCCTGAGTCCCAGAGGGGTGAAGACCATGATGCGGAGCAGAAGCCCCACCAGCCTCTGGTGGACCTGCATCAGGAGCAAGAAACAAACCTTAATGGCTTTAAGCCTCTCAAGGTTTGAGGTCATGACCACAGCACAACCTAGCCTATGCCAGCTGACAGGGGCAGAGGGCAGCAGTAGCAGTGGGATGCTTTCCTGGAGAGCAAACCTCCTCTCAGCAGAGTTAGGACGGCAGCTTTCACCTCTGCATTCCTCAGGCTGTAAATGATGGGGTTCAGCGAGGGCGTCACAACCCCGTAGAACAATGCGACAGTCTTATCCACGTTGGGATCCTTGGCCTTGGGTTTGAAGTACATGAAGGAGATTGTCCCATAAAAAACCACCACCACTGTGCGGTGGGCTGAGCAGGTGGAGAAGGCTTTGCACCGGCCTGCAGCAGAGGGTACCCTAAGGATGGCAGACAGGATGAAAAGGTAAGACAGGCAGATGAGCAAGAGGGGGGCCAGTGTCAGGACGGCTGTGGCCACCATTAATGCCAGCGCATTGAGGGAGATGTCCCCACAGGCCAGTTTTAGCACTGCCAAGATCTCATAGAAGTAGTTGATGACGTGGCCACAGAAGGGGAGGTGCCAGACAAGGATGGACTGTAGCAGTGAGTTGGCAAAGCCTGTCCCCCAGCTCAGCGCTGCCATCTGCATGCAGGTCTGCCCACTCATGAGCTCTGGGTACCTAAGCGGCTGGCAGATAGCCACATAACGGTCATATGCCATCACAGCCAGCAGCAGGCACTCCGTTGATCCCAGCGCCAGGGTCAGGTACATCTGCAGGGCACAGCCAGGGAAGGAAATGGTCCTCTGGGTTTCCAGGAAATTGTCTAGCATGAGAGGCACAAAGGAGGAGGTGCCGCAGATGTCCATGAGGGAGAGGTTGCTGAGAAGTACATGGGGTTGTGCAGGCGAGGGTGCAGCACGTTCAGCCCTATGAGGAGGGCGTTCCCCAACACATTCACGGAGTAGATGCCCAGGCAGAACACAAACAGGACCACCTCCAGGTTACAGTGCTCGTGTAGCCCCATCAGGACGTATTCCGTCACAGCTGTCTGGTTTGCCCACTTCATCTCATTCTCTCTCCTTTTCCATCTGGACCACCCAGCTTTTTGGAAAAAGCTCCAACTGGCCTGGGAGCCCAGTGACCTGATGTCTGAGCTGCAGCAGGTCAGCCTCCCTCTCTGGAATTTAGTTTCACCATCTGTATAATGAGGGAGTTGGACTTCAGATCTGCAATCTGGCCTTCTCAGCGCTGCAGTTCTGTGGACGTCACTGAGGGGAGGATGGGGCACATTCTAGTCCCCTAGGCTCCTCTCTGCTCTCCCCAGGATGGGGTCAGAGGAGACAGCAGAGAAAGATTCATGTTTAAAATGATCGTTTGGAATCCAAAGTGTTTTTGGTCATTAACAGGAAGCATCTTTTCTACATTACGGTTTCATGTGACCAAATTATGGCCATAGTATTTCAGATTTATTCATCCACTAAGTATTTATTAAGTACCTATTCTGTGCTAGGTATCAGGTGCTGGGGCTATAGCAGTAAGGAAAGTAAGTGGACAAAAGGATTCCACACCTGTCACAGGCGCTGCCCCACTCCCTGAGTCAGGTGAGATGAGCTCCGGAAGGCAGGTGGGTAATGGATGATGCTCACCTAGTGTTCCTTGGGCCATGAAGATCAAATATTTCAGCCCCATAGGATGTGTAAGCTTGATTTCTGGTCATCTCTCCTTAAGGAATCATGGACCATTCATTATTTTGTTTAAAAGGACACATAAGAACGTACATGTCTCAATAGAGTTACTGGTCACAGGACTGAACTGTGGTCATGAAAGCCAAGCAACTTACTTTCTGGCCTCCATATTGCTTTGTAGGAGAAATGATACTGACAATGATGTCACACGAGGAGGGAAGCCAGGCACGAATCTGGTGGAGGTGCGGTCAGTTGTGACCAGCTTTGCAAAGGGAGCGGTGGGCGAGGCTGTGGTCTCTCCCAGGTGACCTCCATCGCCATGCAGAGCTGCTCTCACTTCTCCTCGGGAAAGGCCAGCGTCAGGTATTCCTAGGAGGAAGCCCAGGTGTGTCCAGAGAACAGTAGTCTTGTTAGAACTGGAAAAATGTCTTATGGCCAGGTGGCCCCTGGTCTGAAGGAAAAATAGGAGCTGAGTGTGAACTTTTATCACTCAGAAGATATAATCCACCTCTCCCCTCCTGCCCTTCGCTCCTGGGTTGGTTGTGAGGACAGTGCTTTGTGACAGCAGTGGAGCCCTGTCTGTCCTTCCGGGCTAGATTTCTTCTTTCTCTTATTCCTCCTGTTTCGTTGTATCCACGATTTGTCGAGTTGCAGGGCTCACCCTTTCCTGAAGAAACCATCTCTTTTCCCAGCTCCGCACCTTTGTCCGAGATGGAGGCGTGTCCTCCCGCCCATCCCCAGTGGGGGGTGTTCTGCCCATTCTCCAGAGCCCAGCACTGCTCCATCTCTTTTCCTCCCTCTCCTTCCCCTTGCTGTTACCTGCTGCCTTCTTGTGCTCCCACTGCCCTTGGCCATCCCTCTGTGTCATTGTGCGCTGTGGTGCACCTGTCTTCTCTACTACACCTTAAGAGCAGGACTCTGCCTCCTTCCTACCAGCACCTCATGCAGCAAGTGCTGCCAATAGCAGGCACCCAGCAGATAGCGAATGCACGACTCCAAAACCCAGCTTTGCCTCCTGGCTGTAGTTCAGACTAGCTGTGTGACACTGACCAAGACACTTGACCTCTCTCAGACTCAGCTTCCTCCTTGAAGACTGGGATGCTATGTAGCTCAGAGGAAACATACACCTGAAGGTGCTGCCCCGGGGGGTGCAATGACCTGTTACTGAGGCTGGATGGAGGATGGCATCCATCATCAGCTACAGGTGCCTCCTCTATCTACAGGTTCCTGCTCCATCTATACTAGCCACCTCCTGGACAAGGGCTCCAGTGTCCTCCATGACACCAGCTTTCTCCAGAGCCTGTGCAGGATTTCCTTCCTCTACCCTGAATCAGGGTGATTCTTAAAGGACAGTTTCAGGAACATATAGGGGCACTTGGGTAATCTTGGTCAGTAACTGACCTTTAACTATCATCCATGTGAACATCTACAGTTAGGGATTTTCTTGGTGATGTTTGGCAAAAAGTAAAGAATTCCCCAAGTGTGAAGCCTCATTCATTCACTTATTCAACAAATAGTTATTGAGCACCTACTATGTGTTAGGCCCTGGGCCAGGTGCTGGGAATACAGCAGAGACAGACCTGGCTCCTGCCCTCATGGAGTTTGCAGTCATTCATTCACTCACTCGGTGACTTTGGACACCTCCCCCTCCTCTCTCCAGGCTTTAGATCTCTGAGATTCTCTCTGAGTCTGGGATGTAAAGACAAAGTAAAACCTGAAATCTGGAAAGCAGAACTATAAGAGCTTTGTTTCTGATGGGGGTGTTGCTGCAGACAGAACTATGTCCATCTCAAATTCTGACACTGGACACAGGCGTGGGGGTTTCAAGCAGGCCAAGGGTGGGAAACCACCTGACTGCATTTTTCTTTATCACTCACACCTCTAACAGTAAGACCAAGTGGGCCTGGCGGAGGCATTTGAGGGCTTTTGTGTGTGCAGGCTCTGGCCCGTCCTCCTGCCTTGCCTCCACCGCATCCCTCATGCACACCTGCTGCAGCCTCATCAGACCACTCCCTGTCTTTTGGACAAAGCCTGTGTGCTCCAGTCCCATCCCTCTTCTTGGGCAGTTTCTTCAGGCTGGAGTGCCTTTCTTTTCTACTCATCCTTCAAGGCTCAGTTCACACACCACTGTCTCGTGCAGCCTTCTCTCAGATGGCTTCATAAAACTGACCACCCGGACAACAAGATGGTCACACAGCTATTAGTGGAGGTTAAGTTCATTCTGCCTTCATTATAGTTCATTTTTCTTGTATATCTCTCTCTGACTAGACTATGAGCTATTGCAGTGAAAGGGCTGTGTCCTTCATCACTGTCACCCTCCAGTGACCCGCAGCCAGGAGGTGTCAGTGATTGCCATTTGAGTTGAACTATTTATTGACATCCAGTGTTGTTCTGCCAAAAATCCTGATCCTAGGCATGGTGGTTTGCACCTGTGGTCACAGCTACTCAGAAGGCTGAGGTGGGAGGAGTACTTGAGCCCAGGAGTTCGAGGTTACAGTGAACTATGATTGTGCCACTGCACTCCAGCCTGGGCAACAGAGTGAGGCCCTTTCTCTAAAAAAGCAAACGAAGAACGCTGAACCCAAGGTCTTGCCTCAAAATCAATTCCCCCTTCCCCCTCCAACACATACACCGCAACAGAATGATACAGCTATTGTGATTGCTAGGAGAAGGGCTTTGGGCAGTGCCAGTCTCCTGTTTGCAGTAACACCTGCTCTTTCTGAAGAGCTACATCAGTAACATGGTGGGTTTTCCTCACAACTTAAAAGTCTGATCGTAACACATTCATGGAAACTAGAACCAGCACACGAAACCATTGGCTTGTGGCCCTAAAGAAATAACTCTGTGTCCAGAAAATGCCATGTTACCAGGTTGCCTACAGCTTTGCCTGTAACATGGGCACAGGCTGGGACATCAGATAGAAGCTGGTTCCCATGGTGGCTGGGTTGGGATGGGCTAAGTTATGTTGCAGTAACGTACAACCTCATCATTTTAGTGGCTAGCATGACGAAGTTTTATTTCTCATGCTACATGTCTACTGTGGCTTTCCCGGTGGCTCAGGGTTCTCAGAGCCCCTGGCAGATGGAGGCTCCACCCTGTGGGACGTCACCAGTTGTTATGGCTGGGGAAGGACACACTGGAGGCTCTTGCTGCTCTGAGCCACAGGAGACATTTGTCATATCTGCACACAGCCCACTGGCCCTGCGGCATCCTACCACCTGCCCAGAAGGAGGAGAACCAGAATTACTGCTGAGCAGCTCCTCTGCATGTGGGTGCAATGGCGTCTTATGACTCTCAGAAAGCTACTCTAGTGGCCATCTACCAGTGTCACGCAGTGTCACGCTCGGTCATGGCCTGGAAGATCAGAGTCACAGAGGGATAGGACCTGGAGTGTCTCTGAAAATAGCTGCCTGGTTTCACTCCCCGGTTTTACGCCTCTTGAGAAGCAGAGTGATGCCTAGAATGAGCCCTGGACTGGGAGGGCACGTCCCAGGTTTGAATCGGGGCCTTTGTTCCTTTTCTGCTGTATGACTTTGGTCAGATTTCTCCTTCTGAGAAGTGGAGCCAATTAAGCGATCTCCGATATGCTGTAATCTCTGAAACATTTCCTCATATGTTTCTAGCAACTTCCAACCTGAGGTCTGATAGACCCAGGGTTACTTTGCAAGCTAACTGACATATCAGTCTCATTGTCTGGTAAATCTAATTTTAACCACTTAATACTTATTTTAGGCTTCACAAATTATTTTAAAAGAAAAGATAGGGGCATAACAAGAAGAAAGCTTCGGTTACAATTTCCCCGAAATGCCTGGATCTGGGATTCCTGCTTCCTGGCTGTGTGGCAGAGAAGATGAGGATGGCCCTGGAGTCAGACGGGACTAGGGTCCAAGCCCCAGCTCTTCCACTTGTTAACAATGTTCTCAGCCTCAGCTTCCTTACCTATACCATGGAGACGGCAGTATTTCCTTGTGGGCTTGTTTTAAGGATCCAGTGACAGGAAGCATGCGAAGCTCTTAGAACAGAGCCTGGCACTGGTAAATAGTCAGTGAGCAGTAGATGATATTATTACCATCCTGTCCCTATCCCTGTCCCCCAGCAAATATTTTGGCTTTTAAATGTTTTAAATGATTTCTTGAGAATAAGCAATGGGTCAGATGAAATCTCCTTACCTCTCACCTACTGGCCATGGCCTAAATGTCTGTAGGGAGCTGGAGCCAGGTGAGGGGAGCTGTGGTTTGGGAAGTGCCGAGTTCATTATGAGCAAGTGCACGGTGCTGGGATGGGCTAGGTTCCCCGCACCTCGCCCTGCCACTGCCTCCCAGGACCTGCCTCTTGCTCCCCTGCCACATAGACAGTCTGCTTGCCCCCTGCTTTCAGGGACCTCATGGTCCCTGCCCAATTTAAAGTTCAAACTCTGCAACTGCACAAAGTTGCAGGCTTGGCAGCTGTGGGACCTGGGCTTCAGAGACTCCAGGTTCCTCGGCCTGCCCCAGGAGGGCCCTGCTGAGGTGAAGTGGGCATAGGAGAGAGAGTGGACAGAGAATCTGAATACTGGGTCACGTTGCAGTTCTGCGCCTTGGATGCCATAGGCTCCAGGCCCATAAGCCCGGCTTCACTAGGCCTGGGTGTCTGGGTTGTGAAATGGGGTGTCTCCTTCCAGGATTGCCGTAAGGACCTGGATTCATCAAAGCTTAAAGTAAATTGCTTTGTAAGGTGGGAGACACCGAGTACAGGCGAGGGACTTTATTAGGTCAGGGATTTAATCAGGCATCTGTTTTTACAGATTTCTTTATTCCTGTTCCCTCCCCTCCCCTTCCTGTCCTTTCACAATAAAGAATAACAACTTGACACAGCTTAGAGACTAAAAATCATCCTTCAATAAAGCAGCAGAAGTTGCAAAGTTTCCTATGATGCTATAATTTGTCTTCTGGAATTTTTTTATCAAGAACATAGGTCGAAGTAAAAAATGGAAAAGTTGCTACTGTTGATTTTCTATCTGCTCATAGCATATTGTCCTCTTGCTGCCCCACGGATACCCTGAACTCAGCAGGTCGAAGACAAACTCACCATCTCCCCACTTCCCCCATCTACTGTGCTCATCCTCCCCATGCAGTGTCTCAGTCTACCCCAAATAAACCAGAAACTCAGGACCTGCCCACGGTCCTCACCTCTCCCTCCTCCACCTCTATAATCCCAAAATATCTTCCAAATATTATTTTACATATATATACAGTTGACCCTTGAATAACATGGATTTGAACTACATGAGTTCACTTATACTTGTATTTTTCAAAAAATATATTGGGAATTTTTTTTTGAGATTTGCTACAATTTGAAAAAACTTGCAGATGAACCGCCACCCCTGAGACAGCAAGACTAGTCCCTCCTCTTCCTCCTCCTCCTACTCAACATGATGTTGACAGTGATGAAGACTTTTATGATGATCCGTTTAATAGATAGGAAATCTATGTCTCTTCCTTATGACTTTCTTAATAACATTCTCTTTTCTTTAGCTTTATTGTAAGAATACAGTATATAAAACATATAACATACAAATTATGTGTTAATCGACTTTATGTTATTGATAAGGCTTCCAGTCAACAGTTATACATGGATTTTTTTTTTTACAGTGAGGAGAGTTGGCACCCCTCACCCCCGTGTTGTTCAGGGGTTAACTGTAATCCCAAATATTATATCTCTAGCTCCCAAATGTTATTTTGCATCTATATCTATCTCCCCAATATTTCTTGGGGCCACCCTCTCCTTTACTGCCCAGCCAGCTCAGGCCTCACTGAGGGCCTGGGTGACTACAGCAGCTTCCTCCCTTCCCTGCCCTCAGGAGGAAGCCTTTCTCATCTGTCGTCTACTGCGGGCAAGGTGGTCTTCCACATACCATTATTTTTTAAGTTCAAAGTCATGGTCATCATAGAAATATTGGATAATATTGAAAATAATAATTTAAAAAACAGTACTTATCTGTAACCCTGTCACCCAAAGGAAACAACTGTTAGTTAATATTTGGTCATCGTTTTCCAGTATTTCCTAGATACTGACTTATTCATAGATCTGTAAGAAAAATACTTAAAAAGTTAAAATTGAGATCATACTAAAATACAATGTTATGTGTTCTGCTTTTTTTTTTTCTAGTTACTTTACGAGTATTGCCCATTATCATATACCCTTCAAAAAATAAGATTCCTGGCCAGGCATGGTGGCTCATGCCTGTAATCCCAGCACTTTGGGAGACCGAGTTGGGAGGATCGGTTGAGCCCAGGAGTTCAAGACCAGCCTGGGCAACATAGCGAGACCTCGTCTCTATTAAAAATAAATTAGCTGGACGTGGTGGCACATGCATGTAGTCCCAGCTCCTCAGACGGCTGAGGTGGGAGAATTGCTTGGGCCCAGGAAGTTGAGGCTGCGGTGAGCCAAGATTGTACCACTACATTCCAGCCTGGGTAACAGAGTGAGACCCTGTCTTGAAAAAAAAAAAAAAAAAACAGATTCTTAACGGCTGCATCACATACTGTCATTGGACTCCACCGGGATTTGTTTAAATATTCTTCTATGGTTGAACATTAAGATTATTACAGTTTTTTTGTTACTACAAATAATGCTGTTATTAATATCCTTATGTCCAAATCTTTGTGCCCTTTATTATTTACTTAGACTGGATTCCTAGAAGTAGAGGTGTTGGGTCAAGGGGTCTGGAAGTTTTGAAGGCCCTTGATTCATATTTCCAACTTACTTTCTAGGAAGTTCATATTAAATTATCCCCATTTCCACCAGCAGTGTATGACACTGCCTACTTCACCACATGGTACCTAACAGTGGACATTGTGTTAAACAAGAGAGAGAATGGTATCTAATCAGTGACCTTGCTAAAAGTCAATCTGATTGTAAACCCCCAGAGCCCACAGAATAAAACCCAAACCTCTGTGATGTATCCATGGCCCAGCAGAATGGCATGGCCACTGGCATGGCTACTGGCAGCCTTCTCTCAGGCGTGGTCAGAGAGGCTTGGGTATCTCTCACTCCTCTAGCCATGCTTCTCTGTGCCTCTGTTCTGGCCAGCAGAGGAAGCAGGGAGAAAGCCCTGGGAGGGGAATTCAGGCCTCATGCAGGGGCTGTGCTTACCTGTAGCCGGGGGCAGGAAAGGTGGACTGCTGCTTGCAGGGCAAGCCCAGTGCTCCCATCGTACAGATGGTACCATGGAGGCCAGGGCAAGGCAGGGAATGGAAATGCTCCGTGAATCTAGGTCAGTGTCCACTGCCTGTGCACTGAGTTATCAGAAAGAAAAGCTGGAAGAGGCTGAGCACCAGGCAGGGGCAACTATGGCAGGGTCCCAGGGCATGAGGTGAGGATGGGTAAAACAAGCTTCCTCAAGCCAGGTGAGGCCTGGATCCCAAGAAAGGGAGCACTGGAAGCTGCTGCTGCTGCTGTTGCTGCTGGGCGGGGTGAGGTGGGAGGAATGGGGTGGCTTCAGGCTTTGGGCTGGATGATTGGTGTCCCAGGGCCTGACAGGTCTGGGAATCTTGGACTTTGGGCCTTG
Organism: Homo sapiens; assembly: GCF_000001405.40. Classification (NCBI taxonomy): domain Eukaryota; kingdom Metazoa; phylum Chordata; class Mammalia; order Primates; family Hominidae; genus Homo; species Homo sapiens. The sequence continues at coordinate 35,868,149 of NC_000009.12, forward strand.
TGATGGTTAATACTGAGTGTCAACTTCTTTGGATCGTGGGATACAAAGTATGAATCCTGGGTGTGTTCTGTGTGGGTGTTGCCAAAAGAGATTCACATTTGAGTCAGTGGGCTGGGGAAGGCAGATCCACCCTAATCTGGTGGGCATGATCTAATCAGTTTCCAGTGAATATAAAGCAGGCAGAAAAACGTGAAAAGGAGAGACGGGCCTAGCCTCCGAGCCTACATCTTTCTCCCATGCTGGATGTTTCCGTCCCTTGAACAATGGACTCCAAGTTCTTCAGTCTGGGGACTCGGACTGGTTCTCCTTGCTCCTCAGCCTATTGTGGAACCTTGTGATCGTGTAAGTTAATACTTAATAAACTCCTCTATCCTATTAGTTCTGTCCCTCTAAGAGAACCCTGACTAATACAGGCCTCATTGCTGCCTCTACTGTCACCTACCAGGGAAGCTGGGCCATTCTCGTCATCTGTGGACTCCGTCTCAGCTCTGCTCAGTTTTGGGAAGAACTCTAGGCTCTGCCATTGTCACCCCTACATTGACATGTTAATATCTCTATTTAAGAAACTTGTGCAGGGCCTAGAGTTGGGCAAGGCTGGACCTTGGGAGAGAGTAGAATCTGACACTCCCTGCTCTTGGAGTAATGCTGAAAACACAGAGGGGCACAGCAAGAGGAGCAAGGTGGGGTGGCTTCCTGGTGGAGGTGGCATTTGAGCTGGGCCTGAAGGGTCAGGCAGTCAGTCCTTTTACATATGGAGAAGTGTGCTGGGGATAGGGGAGGGGGTGCTGCCTCGTGGGGAGAAACAAGGAGAGCACAGAGCTGGGTGGTGCAGGGCATGTGGGGGCCACAACTGGCTGGTGTGTGTGGCTGTGAGGAGGGAGATGGGGTGGGAGGGGAGGAAGGCTGGGGAGCCAGTCAGGCAGGGCCAGCTTGTGAGGGCCTCAAATGCCCCACTGAAAAGCTTCCACTTTGTTCTGAGAACAGTGGGGAGCCACCTAGGGATTTCAGTGAGAAGAGTGATGCAATCACATGTGCATTTCAAAAAGATGCCCCATGAAGGAGAGATTGGAGGGAGGAACAGGACTGAAGTCTTGGGACCAGCCAGGAGGCTGGTGTGAAGGCCAGGGTGATGCTGAGAGCAGAGGGTGATTTGGGGGCTGTTCTGTGGCAGGATCAGCGGGACTTGGTGCTGCCTTGCTGGGATGAAGATACCAGACCTGTAGCCCCAGCCCTGCCATGTCTTCACTGGCATTGGCATACGATGGCCTCAGCTACTAACCTGAGACCTGCGTCTGTACAGAGCCCCGCCCTCCCTCACCTGGAGGCCCGACTCCTGCCCCACACCTTCCTGGCGGCCTCCTTCACCTCCTTGTTCCTCAGGCTGTAGATGGTGGGGTTCAGCATGGTCGTGACCATGGCATAGAGGACTGTGAAGACCTCATCAGAGATGTGGGCTTCCTTACTCTTGGGCTTCAAGTACATGAAGATGATGGTGCCGTAGAAAAGCAGCACTACAGCCAGGTGTGCCAAGCAGGTGGAGAAGGCTTTGCAGCACCTGGCGGCCGAGGGCACCCTCAGGATGGTGGCCAGGATGAGCAAGTAGGACAGGCAGATGAATGCCAGGGGTACAGGCAGCAGCAGGATGGAGCCCGCCAGCAGGAAGTCTTCGCTGACCGACGTGTTGCCGCATGCCAGCTTCAGCACTGCCAGGATCTTGCAGGTGAAGTGACTGACCACGTGGTGGCCACAGAAGGGCAGCCTCATGGAGATGACCATCTCAGTCACCGACTTGAGGAGGCAGAGGACCCAGGCAGCTCCCATCAGCAGCACGCAGAGCCGGTGGCTCATGAGCACGTGGTACCTGAGTGGCTGGCAGATGGCCAGGTAGCGGTCATAGGCCGTGATGGCCAGTAGCAGGCACTCCGTGGAGCCCGTGGACAGGCTCAGACACATCTGGATGGCACAGACAGCAAAGGAGATGGTCTTCCGGGATGACAGGAGGTGGACCAGCATCAGAGGCACAAAGGTGGGCGTGTAGCAGATGTCCAGGGTAGAGAGGTTGCCCAGGAAGAAGTACACGGGCGTGTGCAGGTGGATATCTAGCACGCTCACCGCCATGATGGCTGTGTTCCCCAGGAGGGTCACCAGGTACATGGCTGAGCACAGAGGGAAGAGCAGATGCTCCAGGGCTGGGTAGCCAGAAAATCCTTTCAGAAAGAACTCGGACACCTCTGTTCTGTTGAGCGGCTCCATGCTGCAGAGTTCTGAAGAGATGGTCCACAGCTGGGATGGAAGGAGAGAGGGTACAGGGTGCGGGGAAGCTCACAGAGCCCTTTCTGGGACGAGGTGGACTGTCAGGATCTTTTCCAGCACTGCCACACTCACTGTCTGTGACGTCGGGCAATCCCTTTATCCTCTCTAGGCCTCAGTTTATCCATGTGAAAAATGAGCATTGATTTAGATCAGCATTCCCTGAGAGAATGTTAATGAGAACATTAGTAAGCAATCTGAAAAATCAATTTGAGACAACATTGGATTAATAAAAAATAAAGCTCTTTACTGCAGGACTTCTCAGAGCGTTTACTACGCTAATGTGATCTATGACTCCTGCAAAGCAATGTAGAACATCTGTACCCCAAACTTATTTGATCATGGATCCCCTTTTACAGAAAACCCATTAACCTACTGCAGATAAGTGTTCTATGAGCATAGTCTGGGAAACAGTAGGCTAGATCAACAGTTCTCAAACTTTAACATGCACCAGAATCACCTGGAAAGTTTGTTAAAACAGATTGTTGGGCCCCAAACCCAGTTTCTGACTCGGTGCGTCTGGGCGATGCTTCTGCTGCTGATGTAGGTACCACACTTTGAGGAACTAGTGGGCTAGGTGGTCTCTGAGCAGGTGGAGATTCTCCTGGCTTTAAGGAAGCCTCTGAGCCATCGCATTTGCTATTCCTTCTGTCTGGAATGTCCTCGGCCTGCAGTGGTCTGACCTGTCTCTTCAGGCCTACTCTAGTATCCATGAACAAAGCATACACCGTGCTGTGTGTTGGAGGGCTGCTGACCTTGAAGCCTATCGCTGGGCATGTTCCCCTGTCCCCTGCCCAGGGCCTGTTTCATTAGCTACCCTGTGTGGATTGGACCTTCACAATCTGCCTTCCTGTGGGTTTCCCAGCTAAAATCTGATGGAGCTTTTGGCCCAGCTCCAAACCCCTATGTTCTGTGGGCCAGAGCGAGGGCTGCTTTGACTTCATGAACTCCTAGGGTATTAGCATGGAACATGACCAGAGGCCAACTTGTTGGATCTCCCATTGTATAGATGGGGATGCTGAGGTCACACAACAGGTCTCTGGTGAGGTGAAGCTAGAATCCAGCCCTCCCAACAGTGTGACCCCTATACCATGCTCAGAGCAGGTGTATGCTTCTATTAGGTTTCAAACAATGCTTGTTCTTTTACCATTCTAGATGGATATCAGTGCCCCAGGTGCTGCCACAATCCTCTCACCAGCAAAAGAGCATGAGTCACCTCTCCTTAGTGTTCCAGGGTATCTGGCACGGTGTCATTAATCCCATGGGACACGATGCCAAATCCTGGGCCTGGGTGGAGCACAGTTCCTCTCAGTGCCTTCCTTGCAGGAGACCATTTCCGTCTTTTATTCCACCCTCACTTACTCATCCCAGAACCTAGAAGTAACTGAGGACCTGCTACATGTCAGGTGGTGCCAGATGTGAGGGAGCACTGATGACAGGTGTGCTCCCAGGCTGCTGAGTGCAAACCCTTCCTAGGCAGAGAGGACCCCCAAGTCTTCCATACCCAGCCTCACCGTCCCCCCACTCTTCCGTACCCAGCCTCACCCACCCCTCCCACTCTCCCATACCCATCCTTGTCCTCCCCCACCCTCCCATACCCAGCCTCCCCCTCCCCTGACTCTTCCATACCCAGCCTCACCCACCCTTCCCACTCTCCCATACCCAGACTCACCCTCCCCCCACTCTCCCATACCCAGCCTCACCCACCCTTCCCACTCTCCCATACCCAGCCTCACCCTTCCCTCACTCTTCCATACCCAGCCTCACCCACCCTTCCCACTCTCCCACTTTTCCAAAAGTAACTATTGTTATTAGTTTTGTGTATATCTATCCAGATACTTTTCTGGCCATTTGCATATGTATATCTATACATGGAAATAGGTCTTGTGACTTTTTAGTATGCTTTTTTGTTGCAGCTTTATTGAAGGATGGTTGATGTACAACTATATTTAAATCATATAATTTGATTAGTTTTAATGTATACAGTCATGAAACCATGACCACAATCAAGATAATGAACTTATCTAATATACCCACAATTTTTCTCATGCCCCTTGGTAATCCATTCCTTTCTTCCCCAACCAGGCAGCCACTGATTTGCTCTCTGTAACTGTAGATTACTTTCATTTTCTAGCATTTTACATAAAGGGAATTATGCAGAATGTACTCTTTTTAAAATCTGGCTTCTTTCACTCAGCGTGATTATTTTGAGAGTCATCCATGTTGTGTGAATCAATGGTTAGTTCTTTTTAAAAATAGCATCTTTATTGAGCTATAATTCAAACACCATGCAGCCGCCCATTTAAATTCACCCATTTAAAATGTACAATTCAAATACAAAACTATTGCATTGTACACTTTAAATGGGTGAGTTTAAAGTGTACAACGGGTGAATTTAAAGTGTACAATGCAATAGTTTTGAGTATCACCACAGTTGATTTTAGAACATGTTTATCACTTCCAAAGGAAGCCCATACCCTTTAGCCATCACTCCCCTTTTCCCCTCAACCTCCTCCAGTCTTAGGAAACCATTAATCTACTTTTTGTCTCTTTTGAGCTGCCTATTCTGGACATTTTACATAAATGAAATTATAAAATATGTTTCCCTTTGTGACTGGTTTCTCTTACTTAGCTTAATGTTTTCAAGGTTCATCTATATTGTAGCATGTATCAGGACTTACTTTCTTTTTATTGCTAATTAATATTCAGTTGTATGGATATACCACATTTTATGTGCCCATTCATCAGTTGATAGACATTTGGGTTGATTCCACTTTTTGACTGTTACGAATAGTGCTGCTATGAACATTTGCATACAAGTTTTTGTGTGGATGTATATTTTCATTTTTCTTGGATATTTTCTTAGGAGTGGAGTTTCTAGGTCATATAGAAACTCTATGTGTATATTTTTGGGGAACTGCCAGTTTCCAAAATGGAAAGTATCATTTTACTTTCCCATTTTACATTTCCCCAATATGTGAGGGTTTCAATTTCTCCACATCCTCACCAACAATTGTTATTATCTGCTTTTTAAATTATAGCCATCTTGGTTGGGTGTGGTGGCTCACGCCTGTAATCCCAGCACTTTGGGAGGCCGAGGTGGGCAGATCACTTGAGACCAGGAGTTCGAGACCAGCCCGGGCAACATGGTGAAACCTCGTCTCTACAAAAAATACAAAAATTAGCCGGGCATGGTGGCATGTGCCTGTAGTCTCCGCTACTTGGGAGATTGAGGCAGGAGAATAGCTTGAGCCCAGAAGGTTGAGGGCTGCTGTGAGCCATGTTCATACCACCCTACTCCAGCCTGGGTGACAGAGTGAGACCCTGTCTCAAAAAAAAAATTTATATTTATATATAACCATCATAGTAAGAGTGAAGTGGTATCTAATTGTGATTTTGATTTGCATTTCTCTAATGGCTAATGACATTGAACATATTTTCAAGTGCTCATTGGGTATTTGTATATCTTCTTTGGAGAAAAAAATAGGCTCTTTAGCCTATTTTAATTTTAATTTTTTTTCTTTGAGATGGGGTTTCGCTCTGATACCCAGGCTGGGGTGCAGTAGTGTGACCTGGGCTCACTGCAACTTCTGCCTTTTGGGCTCAAGTGATCCTCCCACCTCAGCCTCCCGAGTAGCTGGGATCACAAGCACACACCATCATACCCAGGTAATTTTTGTGTATTTTTGGTAGAGATGGGGTTTCACCATGTTGGCTAGGCTGGTCTCAAACTTCTGATCTCAAATGATCCAACTGCCTCGGCCTCCCAAAGTGCTAGGATTACAGGTGTGAGCCACTGCACCTGGCCTAATTATGTATTTACATTTTACTTTACATACGTAAGATCACAGCCAAGGAGGTTAACTATAATTTCAAATTTTATTACCAGCCACTTGTGCTATTTTATCACATTTGAAAATATTCACTCTTACTATATTTACTTTAAACAGTGATCTATAAATTTGTTTAGACAATAATAATTAAGGACCTTTTCTTCTTCAGAATGATAAAAAAATTAATGATGTATTGAAGATACTACTAAAGAAACTTTACTTTTGGAGTATGGCCTCTGCATTGAAGATCTGTAGGATTTTTTAAAATTAATTTTCAAGTCTTTCCATGACCTCTCTGTTCTAAGAAATATCATCTTTGTAATAATTTGTGTGAATACTTTACAAATCAAAAATTGATTCACAATACTGTACTACCATAATCACTAATTTTAAGTCTCTTAAACATTTTCTATATTACTTTTCTTGATTATAAAATGTCAATAATATGGGCATGCTCTTAATATAACAGAATATTTAATTATATTATTTTTCCCATCAACCCACCAGTCATTTATTAATTACATTGGCCATTTCCATTGATTGGCAGGAGGCTCTTCCATGAACATCTCCTATCATTTCCACTGTATCATTTTTCTTGCCAGACTTAGTTCATTTTCAGCCTGAAGAATCACCTCTTTTATTTGAACACCTTGAAGTTGGTCTTCTAATTTTTTAACATCTGGTTCTGCTTTAACCATAGCCAATTTCTCATCTGCAATCTGTTCTGTATACTTTCTATGTGCTGCTTTTTAAGGGGTTTGCTTAAGAACATCAAGGATCTTTGTGTACAATATTCTTAGCCTCTTACATTTTAGCAGACTGATTTTAGTTGCTTGTCTTGTGTGGACTCTTGCATACAGCCAATCCCATGAGGCCAGTGGTCTTCTTCAGCACACCTGCCATGACAGCGCCAATGAGCCAGTCGGATCTTCTTTAATTTCTTTCAACAATATTTTGTAATTTTTAGAGTATACATTTTTTCCAAGAATATAATTATATACATATTGTTTTATATGATTTCTTTGAAAAATAGGAGAAGAAATAAGAAATATGCACTTAAAACTGCCTTTTATAATTATATAATTACCTTTATCAGTGCTCTTTGTTCTATCATGTGGATTTGAATTTCCGTCTGTATTTGCTTGCTTTCAGCCTAGAGGATTTCTTTTAGTATTTCTTGTAAAGTGGGTCTGCTAGCAATGAATTCTCTTAGTTTTTGTTTATGTAGGTATGTCTTTATTTTGCCTTGGTTTTTGAAAGACAGTTTTTCTGTTTTTAATATTTTTGGTTGGCAGGCTTTTCTTTCAGTATTTTGAATATGTCAGCCTGCTGCCTTTTGGCTTCCACTGTTTCCGATAGGAAATCAGCTGCTAATCTTATTATCATTCCCTTGTATGTGATGAGTTATTTGTCTCTCACTGCTGTCAATGTTTTCTCTTTGTCTTTCAAGCACTTTTACTATTATATGTCTGGGGTGGATTTCTTTGAGTTTGTTGAGCTTCTTGGATGTGTAATGTTTTTCAACAAATTTGGGAAGTTTTCTATCATTATGTCTTCTAATACTTTTTCTGTTCATTTCTTTCTCTCCTCTCCTGGTAATCCTATCTCACTCATATGTTAGTACACTTAAGGGTGTTTCACATTTCCCTGAGGCTATGTTCATTTTTCTTTATCCCTTTTTCTTTCTGTTCTTCAGATTCTATAATCTCTATCGATCTTTCTTCAAGTCTGATGATTCTTTTGCCAGTTCAAATCTACTGTTGAACACCTCTAAGTGAATTTTTCATTTTGGTTATTGTATATTTAATTTTGGAATTTCCATTCAAAATAGTTTCTCTTCATTAATATCTCTATTTGATGAGAAATTGTCATCATAGCTTCCTTTACTCCCCCACCCCTCACCAGAGGTAGAATTGCTGAATCATATGGTTATTTTATTTTTAACTTTTTTGAGAAACTACCATACTGTTTTCCATTTTATATTTCCACCAACAGTGCACAAGGGTTCCAATTGCTTCATAGTCTCACCAACACTTGTTATTTTCTGTTTTTTTTTTTAAATAGCAGCCATTCTAATGGGTGAGATGGACTATCTTATTGTAGTTTTGATTGTATTACCTTAATGATTTAGTGGTAAACATTTGTTCATGTGCCTATTGTCCATTTGTATAGATTTTTGGAGAAATGTCTCTTTAAGTTATTTGCCCTTTTATTAATAGCACTGTGGTTTTTTTGTTTTGGGTTTTAGGAGTTCTCTCTATATTATGGATGTTAATCCCTCATCAGATACATAATTTATAAATATTTTCTCCCATTCTGTGGGTTGCCTTCTTACTCTGTTGACATAGTCTTGTGATGCACAAAATTTTAATATTTTCATGAAGTCTAATTTGTTGATTGTTTTCTTTTTTTTGCCTCTGCCTTTGGAGTCATATCCAAGAAATTATTGCCAAATTCAAATTCATGAAGCTTTTGCCCTGTGATTTCTTCTAAAAGTTTGATAGTTTTTGGTAGGTCTTTGGTCCATTTTGAATTTTTGTTTTGGTATTTGGCACTACGTAAGAGTCTCTTTTGCATGTGGACATCTAATTTTCCCAGCACAATTTATTGAAAAAAACTGTCCCTTCCTAAATAGATAGTCTCATTGCTCTTGACAAAAATCACTTGATATGAGGGTTTATTTCTGGGCTTTTCATTCTGTTCCATTGGTCTGTGTGTCTGTCTTTATGCCAGTACCATACTGTTTTGATTACTGTAGCTTTGTAGTAAGTTTTGAAATCAGGAAGTGTGAGTCCTTCAGCTTTGTTATTATTCAAAGTTGTTTTGACTACTCAAGGTCCCTTGAGATTCCATATGAATCTTAGGATGATGTTTCTATTTCTGCAAAAACATCATTGGGATTTTGATAGGGATTGCACCAAATATGTAGATCCTTTAATTCTTTAAGCATGAATTCCTTTAATTCTTTGAATATAGTTACAGTGGATGCTTGAAATCTTCATTGGCTAAATATGACTTGAGGCCTTTTGCAGGCAGTTTCTCTTGCCTGTGTTCCCCCTTCATGTATGCATACTTTCTTGTTCCTTTGCATGATTCATAATTTTTTGTTGAAACTGTATATTTTTGGTAATATATGGTAGCCACTCTAGATACCGATCTTCCACCCGTCTTTGTAGCTTGCTTTTGTTATTTTTTACTTCTTTATTCCTGACTTGGCTAGACTATTTAATTTAGTCTATTATCCCACAGCACGAAGCCTCTGTCTTTCCTCAGAGGCTGTATGTAGCCTTGGATATGTGCACATTCACACCCTGGGATAACAGTGGTTTTAGCAGAGCCATTTGACTGTTGCTTTTCCTGATCTATTTGTAAAAGTATCTACTTCTGCTGGTATCACAGCCAGTGTTAGGCTCCACAAATTGTCATCTGATTGCTTTATTGTTTTTGATCATGTGATGGGGAATACATTGTGCCACAGTCTGATCCAATTAAATTTGGGCAGGAGTATTTTTGAGGCCAGTCTTTGAGGTTTGTTTTGACCCCAGGAGGATTTTCCTTAGCTGTCTTTTTCCACGGTATTCTGCTGTTATTGGGTGAAGGGTTTTATAAATATCAATTAAGTTGGATGAAAGTATTGTCCAAGTCTCCTATATTCTTACTAATTTTCTGTCTACTTATTTTTCAACTACTGAGACAGGGATGTTGAAATCTTTGGCTGCAATTACAGATTTGTCTATTCCTCCTTTCAGTTCTATCAGGTCTTGCTTTATGTATTTTGAGGCTCTGTCATTAGATATATAAGCTTTTAGGACTGTTATGTTATCTTGATGAACTGACATCTTTGTCATTTTCAAATGACCCTCTTTATCCCTGTTAATGTTTTTGCTCTAATATCTACTTTGTCTGCTATTAATATAGAATTGGAGCTTTAATTTTTTTTTTTTTTTTTTTTGAGATGGAGCCTTGCTATGTCGCCAGGCTGGAGTGCAGTGGTGTGATCTCGGCTCACTGCAAGCTCTGCCTCCTGGGTTCACACCATTCTCCCGCCTCAGCCTCCTTTGAGTAGCTGGGATTACAGGCACGTGCCACCAGGCCCAGCTAATTTTTGTATTTTTGGTAAAGACGGGGTTTCACCATGTTGGCCAGGATGGTCTCAATCTCCTGACCTCGTGATCTGCCTGCCTCGGCCTCCCAAAGTGCTGGGATTACAGGCGTGAGCCACTGTGCCCGGCCGGATCTTTAAAAATTTAATCAGACAATCTCTGCCCTTTAATTTAGATGCTTAGACCAATTGCATTAAAAATGACCAGGGACATAGTTGGATTTAAATATTTCATCTGGCTGTTTGTTTTCTATTGTTCCATCTGTTATTTGTTCCTCTTTTAATCTACCTTTAATTAATGTAATACCACCTCACCTATAGTATATAAATGTCGCAACAATGCCCTTTCACTTCCCCTCATCTGGGTTTTGAGCTATTGTTGTTATATATTGTAATTCCACATCTGTTAAAATTCTATAATACCTTATTACTTTTGCTTCCAATAGTCAACTATGCCATATATTCCTTCCTTTAAAAAAATTATTAGCTTCCTATTGGCCACATCCAAGCTATGTTTTAAAAGGTTTAAAAATTAGAGTAAAAATATTTTATATTTATTCACATATTCACCATTTCTAGGGCTCTTTATTGCCTGGTATAGATAGGTATTTTCTTCTGATAACATTTTTCTTCCACCTGAAGGACTTCTTTTAACATTCTTATAGATCTGGACTGTTGGTAATAAAATCTTTCAAATTTTGTATGTCTGAAAATATTTTTATTTAACTTCAGTATTGAGAGGTATTTTGCTTAGTATAGAATTCTGACAGTTTAATTTTCCTTTTACCATTTTGAAGATATTGCGCTACTGTCTTCTGGCTTGCATTGTTTCTGACAATGACTGCTGTCATTCTTGTTTGTTCCTCTGTATATAACGTGTCTTTTTCTATGATTGCTTTTAAGATGTTCTCTTTACCGCTGATTAAAGCAATAGTATTATAATATGCCTTGGTGTAGCTGTCTTCATGTTCTTCTGCTTGGGCTTTGTTGAGATTCTTGGATCTATGATTTTGTAGCTGTCTTCTTGTTCTTCTGCTTGGGCTTTGTTGAGGTTTTTGGATCTATGATTTTGTAGGTTTTTTTAAGTGTAGAAAAATTTTGATCATTTTTTTTCTGTCCATTGCTTCTTTTCCTGAGATTCTAGTTGTACCTATATTAGGCTACTTGAAGTCCCAAAGCTCACTGATATTTTATTTATTTATATTTTTGTGTATTTTATTTTGGTTAATGTATATTGCTATGGTATCAAGTTTACTAATATTTTCTGCTGTAGGTTCTAGTCTGCTATTAATTCCATCTAATATATTTGAAATTTGTTTTAAATTTTGAAATAATCTTAGATTGGCAGAAGAGTTCTAAAGATAGGATGTAGATTTCCTGAATAACTTTCAACCAACTTCTCCTAATGTGAACATCTTATATAGCCATGAAATGTTCATCAAAACTCAGAAATTAGCAGTGACACAACTAAACATAATTGGCACTATTAACTAAACATAATTGGCACTATTAATTAAACTACAGGCTTTATTCAAATTTTCCCAGTTTTCCCACAAATATCCTTTTTCTGTTCCTGGATCCAATCCAGGATATCATGTTGCATTCATCCATTTGATTTTTTTTTAATCTCAAAAATTGTATTTTTTTATTTTTAAAAGTTTTATTTGGGTCTTTAAAAATCTTCTGTGTCTTTCTTTAATATGTGAGGCTTGCTTTTAACAATATACCATGTCTTGTGTATATATATGTAAATGTGTATGTACACATATATACATATGTGTATACATATATACACATATGTATATGCACATATATAATATATGTATACATATATATACACACATATATACATATATATACACACACACACACACACACACATACACATATATATATATACATAGAGAGAGAGAGAGAGAGAGAGATTGAGAGAGAGAGAATGGAGTTTCACTCTTGGTGCCCAGGCTGGAGTGCAGTGGCGTGATCTCGACTCACTGCAACCTCCGGCTCCCAGGTTCAAGCGATTCTCCTCAGCCTCCCAAGTAACTGGAACCACAGGCATGCACCACCACACCGAGCTAATTTTTGTATTTTTAGTAGAGACGGGGTTTCACCATGCTGGTCAGGCTGGTCTCAAACTCCTGACCTCAGGTGATCCACCTGCCTCGGCCTCCCAAAGTGCTGGGATTACAGGTGTGGGTCACCGCGCCCGACCGTAGATATTTTTATATAATTGTTTCTTTGTAAGTTATATGTAATATTCTATTGTGTGAATATATTATAGCTTATTTGAGTATTTCCTGTTGTTAGACATTTAGGTTGTATCTCATGTTTTCTTTGGCCATGCAAACAATGCTGCAAATCATATCATTTTACATGACTCTTTGGCACATGTACAGATACTTCTCTAGGATAGATATTTTGACAGGAAGTTATTGGATTGAAGGTATGTTTATTTAAATTGTTGAAAGATGCCCTAAATTGCCCTCAGAAATGTTGTCTTAATTTAAATCTCCACCAAGAATATAACAGTACCCATTTCTCCATATCCTGACTGATACTGGGTGTTATCAGTCTTTTATTTTTTATTTTTAAGTTAAAATTAAATTAAATTAAACTTTTAAAGAGATGGAATTTTGCTTTGTTGCCCAGGCTGTAGCGCAGTGGTGCAATCATAGCTCACTGTAACCTTGAACTCTTGGGCGTGAGTGATCCGCATGTCTCAGCTTCCCGAGTAAGCAGGACTACAGGAGCATGCCAGCGCACCCTGATGATTATTTTAATTTTTTTTTAGAGATGGAGTCTTGTTATTTGCCTAGGCTGGTCTTGAATGCCTGATCTCAAGTGATCCTCCCCCTTCAGCCTCCCAAAGTTCAGGGATTACAGGCTTGAGCCACCTCACCTGGCCTCAGTCTTTTAAATTTTGTATTACAATGGGTGAAAAAGGATATCTTGCTGTTTTATTTTACATTTCCCTGATCACTAAAAATGTTAATAATAATTCTATTTGTCATTTTTTGCCATTAAAATTTTTTTCTGTTGATTATCTCTTCATATTTTATGCTCATTTTTCTAATTTTGAAAATAATGATTTCTAGAAATTCTTTATATAGTCTCTATAGTATTTCTTTGTGTATTATATATGTGGCAAACATTTTATGTCAGTTACCTTTTTTATTTGTGTATGATATCTTTTGTTACATAGAAGTTTAATTATTTGGGGTAGCAAATTTCTTTTTCGTTGTCTCTTGTGTAATATCCCCAAGGTTTTAAGTACATTCGCCTTTCTGTATTTTCTTCTAATGATTTAAAAGTTTTACTTTTCAATTTAACTTTTATTTTATCTGGAATTTACTTATTGAGTGAGTGAGGTAGGATAAGTAAACTTATTTACTTGCCACAATAAAATTTATTATGGAGGTCATTCTTTTCTCATTGATTTAAAAAATGCCACCTTTCTCATATACGAATTTCTCACAAATTTATTAGTCTCTTTCTGGACCTAGTGTTATGTTCTAAAGAAATTTTATTGTCTTTCTGTCCTCATGTCACACTGTTTTAATTACTATGGCTTTATAGTGATTTGTAGCTTTATGTTGATATCTGCTAGGCGAAATCCTCTCTTACCAGCCTTTTTCAATCATTTTTTGGCTATTCTTGCACATTTTCTTTTCCAGATAAATTTTGCAATCAGCTTGTCACATTTCACAAAAATTCTCCTGGGATTTTGCTTGTAATTTATTGGCTAATTTGGGATGGAATTGACATCCCTACAAAATCAAGTTTTCTCATCCAAGAACATTGTTTTTTGTCTTTCCATCAATTCGGGTCTTTACTTTGTCATAACCATATGGCTCCTCTCCTTTTAATATGTTAATAAAGTGATTTATATTAATGTGTTTTTTTTCCTAATGTTGAATTATCTTTGTATTTCTGGGATAAACCGTTCTTCTTCCTTATGTTTTTTATTCTTGTCATGCATGGATGCTGGATTGATTTCAGGTGAGCTGATCTGCTTCAGCTCCTGGGCTCCCCCTGGTGGCCATCAGGCCCTTCTCTGTGACCTTTGGGGATGGGGTTTGAAATAGCTGTGAAATCCTGGACTCCAGGGCTCAGGCAGCAGGATCACAGATCTAGGAATCTGGTAGACATAAAATCTGCGTGCCCGAGTTATGTAACCATCTGTTTTGCCTCCTTGGGTTCTGTTAGTTTCTCTTTGCTAGGAGACCCTGAGGAAAGAGATCATATCTGTGTTAAAAGAATCTACCCTCTCAGAATCCAACAGTCCATTCACTGACCTGTCCCTTTCTCTAAGCTTTATAATTACCTTTATGTCATTTTCAATGAAGGGAAACCCTCAAATATAGTTTCACTTTTACGAATCTGGATGGCTTTTCATATCAGTAAACTTATAAATCAGAAATTATGTCCCAAATTTGGTCCAGAAAGTAAAATCTTGCATCTCTGGTATTTTGACAGGGATTGCATTTAATATGTAAGTCGCTTTGGTAGTATGGTCATTTTCACAATATTCTTTCCATCCACGAGCATGAGTTTTTTTTCTATTTTTTGTGTGTCCTCTTCAATTTATTTCTTCAATAGTTTAATAGTTTTCCTTGCAGAGATCTTTCATCTTCTTGGCTAAATTTATTCCTAGGTATTTTAGAAAATAAATTCTTAACAGTACTGAAAAGCAAGAAAAAGTGCTATCAGCCAACAAGAAATGTTCAGGAATTCCTGAAAAATGGTAAGCAGATGAGGTTGAATTGTTGGAAGAAACCACAGCCAAACAAAGTAAGGAAGGGATTACTGCAATAAGGGGAGTGGTTCTGGAGGCGTTCTTAGTTCAGAGGCAACAGTTACAAGGAAAAGAAGGAGGCAACCATCTCGATGACTGGTTAGGGGCTCTAACTGGCAGCAAGTGGGCAGGTTGAAGCAGTGAGCATCAGAGATATTGGCCCTTAAGCGGAGTCAGTCATTGCCAATGCTTGAACTTGAAACTCAGAGAAATCTCTGAAGGAATGAGGAGCACAGACAATATCCTCCCATTATAATTTCTGGAGATAGTCAATGAAAACCACATCCACAGACAGGCCAATATGGAATCTTAAATAAAAAGATAAGCCTGACAATAAGAATAAGCACACGCTGAAGGAAAACTAACATCATAAAAGTGAGAAACCAAACCCAACAAAGAGAAACTAACATTGAAGAAAACCATGAATAAAGTAAATGAGACTTTGAAAGAAGTGTGATTTATACCATTGGAAGGACAAGAAAGGATTTTTCATCCATGGAACAATAACAAGTTTATATGAAAACAAAAACCAATTAGAGATTCTGTTGATTGTTGAAATAAAGACAAAAACAAACAAACAAAAAACCTCAGTGAATTAGTTCCTCTAATGATAATATGCCCCTCAAATGTGTTCATTTATATATATATACACATATATATATACATATATATATATATGTATATATGACAAATGTGTTTATTTGAGGAGCAGATTATCAAGCCAGAAGGTCAAGTTGAAGAATACTCCCAAATGTGATATAAAAGGGCAAATATATGGAAAGAAATATTAGATAATGTGAAAGATATATTCATCATTTCAATCCAGATAATAGAAATTTCAGGTGGATAGAATGGAAAGAATAGAGCCTGGCTCTTGAGTTCTTTATTGTGGGAGATTTGTCTATCACTGCAGCAATACTGTACTGTCTTGATTACAAGAGCTTTAGAATAATTCTTGTTATCTGGTAAAGCAAGTATGCCCACTTTGGTATTCTCTTTACATGAACGCTTTGATGATTTCATACAAATTTTAAAATTAGCTTGACAAATTCTAAAAAAACTTTTCAGAAATTTGATTGGAATTTCTTTGAATCTATAAAGCAATTTTGAGATAACTTATATCTTTATTATATTGAGTCTTCCAGTCTATAAACATGGTATATTGCTCCATTTACTTTCATTTTCTTTAAATGTATATCATTAAATTAAAAAAATTTTCTCATTAAAGGTTCTACACATTTGTTATTTTTGGAACTGCTGTTTTATATATTTTAATGTTATTGTAAATGGGATCAGTTTTAGAAATAACATTTTCAGTGTTTATTGTTGTTACATTGGAATGCAATTAATTTTTGTTATTTTCGTTTACTGATTTTAAGGCCTGGAATATTGCTCCACTGTCACATTAATTGTAGTAATTTATCTATAGTTTATTTTGGATATTCTTGTAGACAAACATCATCTGCAAATAATGACAGTTTTGTTTCTTCTTTTTCAATCCTTATTCCTTTTTACATATTTTATTATGCCTCTGTGCTGGCTAAGATCTTTGAGAATAATGTTGAAAAGAAGTAGTAAAAGCAGCCATCTTTGTCTTGCTTTTTTTTTTTTTTGTGACGGAGTCTCTGTCACCCAGGCTGGAGTGCAATGGTGTGATCTCGGCTCAATGCAACCTCTGCCTCCCGTGTTCAAGTGATTCTTCTGCCCCAGCCTCCTGAGTAGCTGGGACTGCAGGCACGTGCCATCATACATGGCTAATTTTTGTATTTTTAGTAGAGCCGGGTTTCACCATGTTGGCCAGGGTGGTCTCAAACTCTTGACCTCAGGTGATCCACCTGCCTCAGCCTCCCAAAGTGCTGGGATTACAGGTTTGTCTTGCTCTTGATCTTTAATGCTTTCAAGTATCTTTTATTTATTTATTTATTTATTTATTTATTTATTTATTTATTTATTTATTTGACACAGGGTCTTGCTCTTTCACCCAGGCTGGAGTACAGTGGCATGATCATGGTTCATTGTAGCTTTGATTTCCCGGGCTCAAGTGATCCTCCTGTCTCAGCTTCCTGAGTAGCAGCAGGGACTACAGACACACACTATCAAGCCCCAATAATTAAAAAAAAAATGTTTTTGGTAGAGACAGGGTCTCATCATGTTGTTCAGGCTGGTCTTGAACTCCTGGGCTCAAGGGATTCTTCCATCTTAGCCTCCCAAAGTGCTGGGATTACAGGCATGAGCCAGCATGCCCAGCTGCAAATATCAATATTAAGAATGATGTTTGATTTTAGATATTCTTTATTGGATTAAGAAAGTTTCTTTCTATTCCTAATTTGCTAAGCATTTTTTACAAATGTAATTTAATTGTTAAGTTAAAATTTATTTTTAATAGTCTGTTCATTTTTGCGGCACAATATTCAAAAGGCAGAAAAGGATATGTAGACAAACTCTCCCTTCCACTCATGTCACCTCATAACCTAGTTCTCTGCTCTGGACACTGTAACGAGGGTCATCTCACACACACACACACACACACACACACACACACACATTCCCCCTTTATTTTTCACCCAAATGAAGACATAATATATTACTGTTCTTCATTTGGTTTTTTTTCTCTAAGAGTTTTAAAATCAAAAATGAATGTTAAATTTTGTCCAATAGTCTTCACATCTATTGGGATGATAATATAGTCTTTCTTCTTTATTGTTTTAATATGATGAATTATGTCAATTGATTTTCTAATGGTAAATCACCCTTGTATTACCAGAAGAAATCTGGCTTTGTCATGATTTAGAAGGTTTTCCATACACGCCTGGATTTAATTTGTTAATATGTTTTCAGGATTTACATATATATTCATAAAGGATGTTGTGTCATAATTTTCCTTTTCTATAGGGTCTGGTCAGGTTTTGGTTTCAAGGTTATGCTAGCTTATAATATTTTTCTATACTGGGATAGTTTGTGCAAGTTGGACCTATTTGCAACTAGTCTTCACCTTGTGGGAGGATTTTAACTACTGACAATTTTTTAAATGGTTATAAGTTTTCTATCATATCACAAATCAGTTTAGGCAAATTACGTATTTTTAGGACTTTTTCTACTTCATCTAGGTTTTCAAGTTAATTTGTTATATTTTCTTTTTTGTTTTTTTTGGGAACAGCTTTATTAGATATACCATACAATTCAGCCATTTTAAGTGTACAATTCAGGGCTGGTCGCAGTGGGTCACACCTGTAATCCCAGCACTTTGGAAGGCTGAGGTGGGCAGATCACCTGAGATCAGGAGTTCGAGACCAGCCTGGCCAACATGGTGAAACCCTGTCTCTATGAAAAACACAAAAATTAGCCAGGCATGGTGGTCTGTAATCCCAGCTCAGGAGGCTGAGGGGGGAAAAATCACATGAATCGGGCAGGCGGAGGTTGCAGTGAGCCAAGACTGCGCCATTGCACTCCAACCTGGGCAACAGAGTGAGACCCTGTCTCAAAAACAAACAAACAAACAAACAAATAAATAAAGAGTGTAATTCATAGGCTTTTAGCATATACACAGAGTCGAACTGCCATCACCACAAGCAATTTTAGAACATTTTCATCACCTCAAAAAGAAATCTGGTACCCTGTAGCTATCCTCCTGTGCCCCCATCCTCCAATCCCTAAGCAACCACTAACCTACTTTCTGATCCTACAAATTTGCCTATTCTTCACGTTTCATATAAATGTAATCATATAATATATGATTTTTTGTAACTGATTTTCTACTTAGCATGCTGTTTTTAAGGTTCATCTATGTTCTAGCATGTATCAATACTTCATTCCTTTTATGGCTGAATAATGTTTCATTGTCCGGCTATACTACATTTTATTTATCTATTTATCAGTTGATAGATATCTGGGTTGTCTCCACCTTTTAGCAATTACAAATAGTGCTGCTATAAATATTTGTGTACAAGTCTTTGTGTGAACATAGATTTTCATTTTTCATTTCTCTTGGTGTATATCTAGGAGTGGAATTGTTGGGCCATGTGGTAACTCTATGTTTAACCTTTTGAGGAACTGCCAGGCTGTTTTCCAAAGCAGCTGCACAATTTTACATTCCCACCAGGAGAGTATGAGGTTTCTGACTTGTCCACATCCTTGTGAATACTTACTACTACCTGACTTTTTGATTTTAGTCATCCTAATGGGTGTGAAGTGGTATCTCATTGTGGCTTTGATTTGCAACCAGATGCTTAATGACGTTGAACATCTTATCATGTGCTTATTGGTCATTTTTATATCTTCTTTGAAGAAATGTCTATTCAAGTTCTTTGCCTATTTTTAAGTTGGGTTGTTTGTCTTCTTATTAATGAGTTGTAAGAGTTATATATTCTACATATAAGCCCCTTATCAGATATATTATTTGCAAATATTTTCTTCCATTCTTTGAATTCTCTTCTCACTTTTTTTTTTTTTTTTTTTTTGAGACAGAGTCTCACTCTGTTGCCCAGGCTGGAGTGCAGTGGCACAATCTTGGCTGACTGCAATCTCCACCTGCCGGGTTCAAGCGATTCTTGTGCCTCAGCCTCCCAAGTAGCTGGGATTACAGGCACATGCCACCTCGCCTGGCTAATTTTTGTATTTTTAGTAGAGATGGGATTTCACCATGTTGCCCAGGCTGGTCTTGAATTCCTGACCTTCAGCCTCCCAGAATATCCCTTCCTGGGATTACAGACGTGAGCCACCATGCCCGGCCTCTTCTCACTTCTTAATGGTGTATTTGGAGCACAAAACTTTATTTTATTTTTATTTTTATTTATTTATTTATTTTTTGAGACAGAGTCTCGCTCTTTCGCCCAGGCCGGAGTGCAGTGGCACTATCTCGGCTCACTGCAAGCTCCGCCTCCCGGGTTCATGCCATTCCTCTGCCTCAGCCTCCCGAGTAGCTGGGACTACAGGCCCACGCCACCGCGCCCGGCTAATTTTTTGTATTTTTAGTAGAGACGGGGTTTCACCGTGTTAGCCAGGATGGTCTCGACCTCCTGACCTCGTGATCTGCCTGCCTCGGCCTCCGAAAGTGCTGGGATTACAGGCGTGAGCCACAGCGCCCGGCCAAAACTTTATTTTTAATGAAGTCCAATTTATCTAGTTTTTCTTTTATTGCTTGTGTATTTGCTATCATATTTAAGATTCCATTGCCAAAGTCAAGAGCATAAAGATGTATGCTTATGTTTTATTCCCAGAATTTTATAGTTTTAGCTATTACATTTAGATCTTCGATCTATTTTTGTATTTGGCGTATGGTAAGTGTCCAACTTTATTCTTTGCATTTGGATATCCAGGTGTCCAAGCACCATTTGTTGAAAACACTATTCTTTTTCCATTAAATGTTCTTGGTATCTGCTTCTAATTTTTTGCAGAGTTTGTGAAACATTCATATTAATGCTTTAAATGTTTGGTAAAATTCACCAGTGAAGCTATGTGGGCCTGTGCTTTTCTTTGTAGGGTAGTTTTTAAAATTACTAATCTAATCTCTTTATAGGTCTATTTAGATTTTTAATTTATTCTTGAGTCAGTTTTGGTAATTTCTGCCTTCCTAGAAAGTTGTCCATTTCATCTAAGTTATCTATTTTTTTGGCACACATTTGTTATAGTGTTTTTTATAATTTTTTTTTTATATGTGTAAGATTGGTAGTGATGTCTCTCATTTCTGGTTCTAGTAATTTGAGTCTTTTCTCTTTTTTTTCTTGGTTAATCTAGCTAAAGATTTGAAATTTAGTTGACTTTTTAAAATATCCAACTTGGCGGGGCACGGTGACTCACGCCTGTAACCCCAGCACTTTGGGAGGCTGAGGTCAGGAGTTTGAGACCAGCCTGGCCAATATGGCAAAACCCCGTCTCTACTAATAATACAAAAATTAGCTGGGCATGGTCGTGTAGGCCTATAGTCCCAGCTCCTCAGGAGGCTGAGGTGGGAGGATTACTTGAGCCTGGGAGGTGGAGGTTACAGTAAACCGAGATTGTGCCACTGTGCTCCAGCCTGGGTGACAGAGTGAGACCCTGTCTCAAAAAAAAAAAAAAAAAAAGAAAGAAAAGAAAAAAAATCCAACTTGTGGTTTTGTTAATTTTCTCTAGTTTTTCTATTCTCTATTTCATTAGTTTCTACTCCAATGTTTGTTATTTCCTTACTTCCTCTTGCTGTATCTTTTCATTTGTTTTAAAATATATGAAGTATCTGTGATATCCTTTTTAAAAATTTTTATTTGTGCTTTCACTGTTTTTGTTTCTTTCCTTTCCTTTTTTATTTTATTTTATTTATTTTCTTCCTTTTGAGACAGGGTCTTGCTCTCTCACCCAGGCTGTAGTGCAGTGGCATGATCACAGTTCACTGCAAACTCAAACTCCTGGGCTTAAATGATCCTCCTGCCCCTGCCTCCCTAGTAGTTGAGACAGCAGGCAGGTGCCACCATGCCTGGCTAATTAAAAAAAATTTTTTTTTAAATTTTTTGTGAAGATGGGGTTTCACTATGTTGCCTAGGCTGGTCTTGAACTATTGGGCTCAGGTGATTCTCCCACCTCTATCTCCCAAGATGCTGGTATTATCAGTGTGAGCCACTGTGCCTGGTTTCTTTTTGTTTCTTAATAAATATTTCCCAAACTTTCTTAATTCTATTAGGCTTTTCAAAGAATCAATTTTTGGTTCTGTTAACTACCCTTATTTTAATTATTTCCTTTCTTTTATTTTCCTGTATTTATTCTGTTGGTCTTTTTTCAATTTTTAAACTCATTAAATCCTAGACTTTCTTTTTTCCTAATATAAATGGTCATTTCATTTAATTTTAATTTTATGAGCTTTGACATATAGTATTTTGTTTCTGTCAGGTTCCAAGTAATTTCTAATTTCCATTATTACTTCTTTTAATTATTTCAGAAGTATTTTTCTTAATTTCTCAATGAATAATATTTTTGTGTAAACCTTTTAATTTTTAAAATTGATTTTAGCTGAATTTCTAATGTAATTTCCTTGTGGTCAGAGAATGTGGTTTGTATGATATCCATCCTTAAAAAGTTTTTTCTTTTTGTTATTGGTTACAGCAGCAACAGGAAAAAACATTTTTATTCTTGCTTTACGACTTGCTCTCTGGTCATTTTTCATAAACATATTCTGTGTGCTTGAAAATCGATCGTGTGTCTTGTTTGTTGAGAGTAATGTTCCTGTATATGTTCATTTTATCAAACTTTATAATTAATTTGTTTAAATCTAAATATCTGCTGACTTTTTGGCTCTGAATTACTTAAAGATATGTGCTAGAATTTTTTTATTCATTGTGAATTTGTCAAATTCT
Source organism: Homo sapiens (assembly GCF_000001405.40). NCBI lineage: Eukaryota > Metazoa > Chordata > Mammalia > Primates > Hominidae > Homo > Homo sapiens. The sequence continues at coordinate 35,890,511 of NC_000009.12, forward strand.
CCTGATAGTTCTAGAAGTGTTTGCTTTACATATTTTGAGACTATGTTTTAGGTGCATATGAGACTAGAATTGGTATATCTTCCTGGTGGAAATTATCTTTTATATTTACATACAGACTCTCTTTATCTCATTTGGCCTTAAAATTTACTTGGTTTATTATTAATATAATTATACTAGTTTTCTTTTCATTAGTATTTGCCTTATATTTCTTTTTTCTTTTTCTTTCTTTCTTTTCTTTTCTTTTTTCTTCCTTTTGAGACAGAGTCTTGCTCTGTCATCCAGACTGGAGTACAGTGGCAGGAAGATGGCTCACTGCAGCCTTGACCGCCTGGGTTCAAGCAACCTTCCCACCTCAGCCTCCTGAGTAGCTGGGACTCTGAATGGCATATGCCATTATGCCTGGCTAATTAAAAAAAATTTTTTTTGTAGAGACAGGGTCTTGGCATGTTGCCCAGTCTGGTCTCAAACTGCTGGTCTCAAACTCCTGGCCTCAAGTGATCTTCCTGTCTCAGATTCCCAAAGTGCTAGGATTACAGGCACGAGCCACTGCACTCAGCCTACATTATATATCTTTTGTATCCTTTTGCTTTCCACTTTTCTTTAACTAGTCTTGTGTTTCAGACTTTTCTAGTACATAGCACATAGGCTTAAAATTTTTTTTTTGGCCAGGTGCAGTGGCTCACGCCTGTAATCCCAGCACTTTGGGAGGTTGAGGCAGGCAGATCGCTTGAGCCCAGGAGTTCGAGACCAGCCTGGACAACATGGTGAAACCCTATCTACACACACACACACACACACACACACACACACACACACACACACACACATCCAGGCACGGTGGCACACACCTGCAGTCCCAGCTATTTGGGGGACTGAGGTGGGAGGATTGCTTGAGCCTGGGAGGTCAAGGCTGCAGTGAGCTGTGATTGTGCCCCTGCACTTAGCCTGGGTGACACAGCAAGACCCTGTCTCAAGAAAAAAAAATTTTTTTAATATGGGTATAAAGAGAGAGAGAAGTGAGGCCCAAGGAGGGTCATGTCAAGCTTCTAGAAACCGGGAGACTCATGACATTGGGTACTGAGACAAAACATCAACCTCAAAACATCCTACTCCACCTCTCCCTGACTCTAATTCCTCTCTCTTCTCTGGGGACCTCATTCTGTGAGTCCTGACCCTCTCCTCTGGTGACTCTACTGAGAATATAAAGCTCAATCTTCTTGCACCTTTAAAGTAAAAATCTTCTTTGGCATAATTCTCTCCTTCAGCTGCTGCCTCATCTCTCTCTTCGCCTGCACTGGCAAGTTCCTCAAAAAGTTACTCCTGCCTGTTTTACCACACGGTTGCCCAATCCAGATACATAGGAATTATGCTTGGCTCCTGCTTCCCCTCAGTTCTCCTCATCAAATGACTCAGAAAGTCTTTTTAATTCCCTCTCAAAAATAGATATGGATTTGAAATCTGTTCCACCTGCTGCTGTCTCTGCCACTGCTGTGACATGGGTACCCATCATCTCTTGCCCGGACCTCTGAACCTCCTCCTGGGAATGGATTTCTGATCTTTTCACAAGCTGACAGTGATCCTCTTCTCCTCTTGGAGTCCTCCCACCCTTACCTGTTCCCCAACCAAAGCTTTCTGGGATTTGCTGAGGTTTGGGAACTCCAAGTCCTTCAATTTGAGTTACACGGGACACCCACACACTCTCCAACTCCCATAGCTCCAGCTCCTGAGATTAGGCCAGAGAAGTGACTCATTTTCACTGGGTACTGTCCCCAGAAATGCTCTGCCACCATGGCACTTTAGGGTCTGATGCTGGAGGCTGGCATGCTGAGCTCTGGGGACAGCCTCCCAGCAGCCCAATTAGTCTGGGTTAACTGAAACTTGCTATTGGCAGTCTCCATAATCAGACAGGTTTCCTGCTGGGAGGCAATCCCTTGGGTGTCCCTGACTGTCCCAGGTGTTTTTCCTACCCTTAAGGAGGCATGGAATTGGATTATGTGACTCAGTATCCCAAGAAGTTCCTTGTTCTTGACTCCATAGAAATAATGATATTGCTGGCCATGTGGGTGGCTCATGCCTTTAATACTAGCACTTTGGGAGGCCAAGGTGGGTGATTCACCTGAGTCAGGAGACCGAGACCAGCCGGGCCAACCATAGTGAAACCCCATCTCTACTAAAAATACAAAAAAAGTCAGCCAGGTGTGGTGGCAGGTGCCTGTAATCCCAGCTACTTGGGAGGCTGAGGCACGAAAATCACTTGAACCCGGGAGGCAGAGGTTGCAGTGAGCCAAGATCGCGCCACTGCACTCCAGCCTGGAGGACAGAGTGAGACTCCATCTAAAAAAAAAAAAAAAGAAATAATAATATTGCCCTAATGTGGGATGGAGAACAGACCTCAGAGTCCTCAACCAGAGGAAAGAAAGGGGAGTGTTACTTTTCCTCTACTTTTGGGTTTCTCAGCAGATGCACTACTGATGTTTTGGGCAGGACAAGTCTTCCTCCGATGGGACCATCACACTCATTGAAGGATATTTGTCATGCTTGGATCCTGCACACTAAATACTTACACAGTCATCCTGATAACGCCAAATACCCCCACATATTTCCAAGTATTCTCTAGGAAGGTAGTTATGCCCCAAGCCTAATCCAAATGCACCTAGTGGACATGCACAAGCAAGAAAGTCACTGAGATTACAGTGTGCTGAAATCATCTGATGATTTTTAGGCTTGTTTTGTCCACAGGACCTAGACCTTCTACTCTCTGAGATCAGTGACTACGTTTGATTCATCTAGGTGTGAGGTGTGCCACTATTCAGTAGAAATACAACGCAAGCAACAGAACTTAAAATTTTCTAGTAGCCACACTAGAAAAGTAAAACAAAACAGTTGAAATGAATTTCAATAACATTTTATTTCACTCACTATATAAAAAATACGATTATTTTAACATGTAGACAAGATTTAAAAGTTACTGATGACATATTTTACATTCTTTTGTGTACTAAGTCTTTGAAACCTGGAGTGTATATTATACTTACAGAAATCTGAACTCAGACTAGCCACATTTCAAGTGCCCAGTGGCTAGTAGGTACCATATTGCACAGCACTAGAAAGCTCTATTCACTTACTTTCTCCCACAGCTATTGCCTACTTTTTTCTCCCAACATTTTTTGTGTGTTTTCTTCTATTTCAAACATATAGAAACGTTGAAACATAGAGAAAAGTTCAAACATATTTCAAACACACAGAAAGGTTGAAATAATTGTACAGTTGAATATACCTAACACTAGTCTCTATAATTAACTACTTGCTACAGTTATCAGATATCAATTTGTCTATCCAACCATCTCTCCATAACATTTTTTGATTATTGTCTACTTTTTAGAAGTGTTTCTTTTTATATGTGTGTAGGACAGGTTGAAAACCCACTCAGGAAATTATTATCTCTTTGAACATTGTTCTACAAAAGCTTAATCAGGAGCTTTTTCAAATTTCAGGGCAAAAGAACTTGAAAGCTTCTCTCCTTTTCCTCTTTATTATCCTCTTATGCCTGTGTCCTGATTTTCCTCTCCTGTGGATTCTCGGAGACATGACTTCTCTTTCCCATCAGAGAGCAAGCTTTCTGAGTGAAGCATCATACTCGGTTACATCTCTCAGCCTAGCACAATATTGTTCTGGGTTAGAGGTAGGCTTTGGGGTCAGACAGGTCTGCACTTGATTCTGGCTCTGTCATTTACTACTGCGTGACCCAGAATGGGTGCTTTATTTATTTATTTGTTATTTTGGGGGACAGAGTCTCACTGTATCCTCCAGGCTGGAGTGCAGTGTCACGATCTCGGCTCACTGCAACCTCTGCTCCCAGGTTCAAGCGATTCTCCTGCCTCAGCCTCCTGAGTAGTTGGGATTACACACCCAGCTATTTTTTTGTATTTTTAGTAGATATGGGGTTTCACCATGTTGGTCAGGCTGGTCTCGAATTCCTGATCTTAGGTGATCCACCCACCTTGGCCTCCCAAAGTGCTGGGATTACAGGGGTGAGCCACCATGCCGGGCAACAGTGAGAGCTTTAACTCTCTAAGCCTCCTATGTAATGTGAGGACAATAGGTTTGTTGTGAGATCTAAAGATACATTTGTAAAGTGTAATTATTCTAGCAATTATTAAAATAGTTGGGGAGGAAAAGGAAAGGAGATTATTGCTTATGAATGACTCCTTTTGTGCTTTCCTTGTGAATATTTAGGTCCCAGAATTTACCCAGTGTGTTGTAATAATTTATATTTCTGTCTCCTGTCCTAGGTAAAAAGCTCTTGGAAGGCATGGATTGTCTTTTTTCTACCCAGCCTCAGCACCAGGCACAGAGTCTAGTTCAACAGATGTTAGTTATATCAATGAATATAATTCTAAGTGTCACAATTATCTTTAGATAATGATTTCAGAAAATTACAGAGACTTGAAAATCCAGAGAGCAATAAATCTTAGACTGCACAGATTCAATCTGTCTCCAGTTCTTCCCTCGTTGTGCATGAGGGCAAACTTAGGCTCAAGAAAGTTCACTATGTTTACTGCATATACATGTCTCAAAGCCCATGGACATGCTGCCCAGGGAAGGCAGGAGAAGCAGTCCCCTTGGATTAATCAGCTCCCACACATCCCCAAGGACAGTGAATCTAGGAGACCTCTTCCACCTGTTGGCATCTTTTTTTTTTTTTTTTGAGACAGAGTCTCGCTCTGTCACCCAGGCTGGAGCACAGTGGCGCGATCTCGGCTCACTGCAACCTCTGCCTCCCGGGTTCAAGCGATTCTCCTGCCTTGGCCTCCTGAGTAGCTGAGACTACAGGCGCACGCCGCCACACCTGGCTAATTTTTTTGTATTTTAGTAGAGATGGGGTTTCATTGTGTCGCCCAGGCTGGTTGCGAACTCCTGAGCTCAGGCAATCCGCCGCCCTTGGCCTGCGAAAGTGCTAGGATTGCAGGCATGAGCCACCGCGCCTGGCTGGCATCTTTAAAATGACACCAATGAAGCTTATGATTCTGGGGTCTAGCTGCTCTCTTCGTTGGTGAATAGGTGGATCACTTTGCAGACCTGTTCTACTTGGTGGGCATGCTTCTGAATATTTTTCTAAAGGTGCTGTAACTTTTGTTGCTTTCATTATTATACAAGTAAAATGTTTATTGTTGCAAGTTTTAGAAATGTAGAAATGCCAAATAAAAAGCAGTCACCTGCAAACTCACTGCTCAGAGGAAGCCCTATAAAGATTGCATCTTGTAGCTCTTCAGACTTCTGTCTGTGCGTGTTTATAGGTGTAACACAAACATTGCCAGCACTAACCACCCTGCATGTACAAATGAGGTCACATTTTCATGAATTCCTAGATTTTGCAGACCACACTCCCCATCCAAATAACATCAGTGCCTCAGTGTATTCACCTCTAGCCCTGTCTTCCTGTAGCCTTCCCCATTTGTTTTTGAAGCTCCCTAGCAGCTGCTGCACACATTTTGCACTTCATGCCTTTCTTCTCTCTCCTTCCCATCATCCTTTGGGGCCAGAAGGAACCAGGCTTCTCCCAGGCCTGGATATCATGGCCTCCATCTACCTTAGAGCTTCAAACTTCGGCTACATGGCTGTCGCATGTGGAATGGAGGAGCTTTCTACGTTATAGGAGATCTGCATGGGCTGGGTCCTCGTTTGGTCCTTGATTCAGTGTGTTGAAAGGGAGAGAAAAAAGAATTTGGAAAATCCTCTTAGGAAACTGGCTTGACTTACAGGGCAAAGTCCAATTTTGAAGGTCAAAGACTGCATGCATATTAAAGTCCTTCTCCTTGCATTCTTTTTGTAATAATTCAACTCTCTCTCCAGACAAATGCTCTGGAACAACTAGGAAGAAACTTACATATTTGGAAAAGTAACTTTAAAGAGCAGGTTATCAGTCTAGGCAACATAGCGAGACCACGTCTCTACAAAGAATAAAAAAGTTAGCCAGACGTGGTGGCACACACCTGGAGTCCCAGCTACTTGGGAGGCTGAGGCGGGAGGATTGTTTGGGAGGAGGTAGAGGCTGCAGTGAGCTCTGATCATGCCACTGCACTCTAGCCTGGGCAACAGAGCAAGATCCTATCTCAAAAAAAGTATATTACTACTTTTCAAAAATATTACCTCTATAGCATATAAGAATTTATTTAACAGATGCTTGTGGCAGGTTGTTTGCAAGTCTCACAGGATCCATATCCCCTGAAGTGCAGCCTGGACTATAATGCGGGCTCCTCCCTTTCAGACACATGGTGTGGTGCTTCGGTTAGTCAGGTCTTCTTTCACAGCTGTCAGTGAAGACTTGCTTTTTCTTTTGTTCATTGGTCTTCCACATCTCTTGTTAAGTTTATTCTTGTTTGTTCTTAGAAGTTTTATAATTTTTGTTTTAAGTTTCAATAATGCCTTCATTCTGTCTTTGAATTAGTAATTACTGTTATGTAGGAAAATCACCGATTTTGTATTTTTATTTTTAAATTTTAGAATCTAAATTTATTATTATTATTATTATTATTATTATTATTATTTAGAGATGGGATTTCACCATGTTGGCCAGGGTGGTCTTGAACTCCTGGAGTCAAATGATCTGCCTGCCTTAGCCTCCCAAAGTGCTGGGATTATGGGCATGAGCCACTGCTCCTGGTCAAAAATTTAAATTAAGTTTTATTTAAAAATTTGAATTTTTAAATTAACTCTTATTAGTGTTAATAGTTCTCCAGTATATTCTTTCAAGTTTTCCAGATATGTAGTCACATCATCTCTAATATTTCTACCTTTTATTATACATTGTTATTGTATTAAGCTAACTAAAAATGGTGGAAGTAAGCATTCTAGCTTGTTCCTGGTTTCAACAGGAATCTCAAAGTGCTGGGATTACAGGCCTATTTTTTTTCACCATTAATCATGATGTTGACTACTGGTTTGAGATATTTTTCCTTTTAATAATGTTAAAAGAGTATCCTCCTAATAGTACACTTTTTTTGTTTTACTCATTTGCAACACAGGAGTACCTTGGAGGTACTGCAGGTTCAGTTCCAAATCACTGCAATAAAGTGAGTCATACCAATTTTTTGGTTTCTCAGTGCATAAAAAATTATGCTTACACTATCCTATAGTCTATTATGTGTGCATTAGCATTATGTCTAAAAAGTACATATCTTAATTTAAAAATACATTATTGGCTGGGTGCAGTGGCTCATGCCTGTAATCCCAGCACTTTGAGAGGCTGAGGTGGGCAGATCATGAGGTAAGGAGTTTGAGACCAGCCTGGCCAACATAGTGAAACCCCATCTCTACTAAAAATACAACAACAACAAAAAATTAGCCGGATGTGGTGGCACGCACCTGTAGTCCCAGCTACTCCACAGGCTGAGGCAGGAGAATCGTTTGAACCTGGGAGGCAGAGGTTGCAGTGAGCCGAGACCACGCCATTGCACTCCAGCCTGGGCAACAAAGGGAGACTCCATCTCAAAAAAACAAATACCTTATTGCTAAAAAATGCTAATGATCACCTGAGCTTTCAGTGATTTGTAATATTTTCGCTGGTAGAGGACTTTGCCTTGACGTGGATGGCTGCTGACTGACCAAGGTGGTGGTTGCTGAAGGTTGAGGTGGCTGTGGCAATTTCTTAAAATAAGTTGTTAATAAATTTTGCCATGTTGATCAAGCCTTCCTTTCACAAAAGATTACTTTGCCCAGATTCATCAAAGGAATCACTATGTATAGCAGCTATAGCCTTACAAAATGCATTTCTTAAATAAGATGACTTGAAAATTGAAATTACTCCTTGATTCATAAGCTGCATTATGGAAGTTGTGTTAGCAGGCATGGAAACAACATTTATCTCCTTATACATCTCCATCAGAGCTCTTAAATGACCAGGTCCATTGTCAATGAGCAGTAATATTTGGAAAAGAATCTTCTTTTCTGAGTAGGAGGTGTCAACAGTGGGCTTAAAATATGCCATAAACCATGCTGTAAACAGATGTGCTGTCATCTGGGCTTTGTTTGTTCTTTTATAGAGCACAGGCATCTATAAATCTACAGAGTAGATTTAGCATAATTCTTAAGGGCCCTAGGATTTTGGGAATGGTAAATTAGCATTGGCTTCAACATAAAGTCATCAGCTGCAATAGCCCCTAACAAGAGAGTCAGCCTGTCCTTTGAAGCTCTGAAGCCAGACATTGACTTCTCTCTAGCTATGAAAGTCCTAGATGGCATCTTCTTCCAATAGAAGACTACTTCATCTACACTAAAAATCAGTTATTTAGTGTAGCCACCTTCATCAGGTATTTTAGGTGGACCTTCTAGATAACTTGCTGTAGCTTCAACGTCACAAAAGTCCAAGTGCTGCCTCTCCTTGTACTTTTATGTTATGAATTTGGCTTCTTTCCTTAAGCCTCTGCTAGCATCCAACTTTTCTTCTGCAGCTTCCTCGCCTCTCTCAGCCTCCATAGAATTAAAGAGGGTTAGGGTATTGCTCTGGATTAGGCTTTGGTTTCAGGGAATGTTGTGGCTGGTTGATCTTTTATCCAGACCACTCAAACTTTCTCCATATCAGCAATAAGGCTGTTTCGCTTTCTTGTCACTCATGTGTTCACTGGAGTAGGACTTTTAATTTCCTTCAGGAACTTTTCCTTTGCAATCACAAGTTGGCTAACTGCTTGGTGCAAGAGGCTTTGCTTTCAGCCTGTCTTGGCCTTCGATATGCCTTCCTCACTAAGGTTAATAATTTCTAGCTTTTGATTTAAAGTGAGAGATGTGACTCTTCCTTTCACTGAGCATTTAGAGGCCATTGTAGGATTATTAATTGGCTTTGTTTTGATATTGTTGTGTCTTAGGGAATAGGAAAACCCTAGGAGAGGAAGAGAGATGGAGGAAAGGCTAGTCAGTGAAGCAGCCAGAACACACACAACATTTATTGAATAATATTATATGGGCGCAGTTCATGGTGCCCCGAAACAATTACAGTAGTAACATCAAAGATCACTGATCACAGGTCACCATAACAGATGTAATAATAATGAAAACATTTGAAATATTGTGAGAATTACTAAAATGTTTGACACAGGGACATGAAGTGAGCACATGCTGTTGGAAAATAGTGTCGACAGACTTGCTCAAAGTGGGTTGCCACAAACCTTCAATTTGTTTTTGTTTATTTTTGAGACAGAGTCTCACTCTTGTCACCCAGGCTGGAGTGCAGTGGTGCAATCTCAGCTCACTGCTACCTCTACCTCCCGGGTTCAAGTAATTCTTGTGCCTCAGCTTCCTGAGTAGCTGGGATTACAGGTGCAAGCCACCATGCCTGGCTAATTTTTGTATTTTTAGTAGAGATGGGGTTGGCCTCACCATGTTGGACAGGCTGGTCTCAAACTCCTGTCCTCAAGTGATCCACTTGCCTCAGCCTCCCAAAATGCTGGGATTACAAGCATGAGTCACTGAGCCCAGCCCAAACCTTCAATATGTAAAAAGAAAAAAAAAAAAGCAATATCTGTGAAGCACAATAAAAATGAGGTATCCCTGTATTTATCAGGAATGCATAGTGAATTTTATTAAATACTTTTTGACATTTGTTGAGATGATTATATGGTTTTACTTTTTTAACATATTAATGTAATTAATTACAACATATTTTTAAAACATGAAACCACCCTCACATTCCTAGAATAAATTTATTTTATGGAGTATTCGTCTCCCAATGTTCTGGGATATAATATTAATTTGTTAGAATTCTGATATTTGGGACGGGCGCGGTGGCTCACGCCTGTAATCCCAGCACTTTGGGAGGCCAAGGCAGGCGGATCACGAGGTCAAGAGATCGAGACCGTCTTGGCTAACACAGTGAAACCCCGTCTCTACTAAAAATACAAAAAGTTAGCCAGGTGTGGTGGCACACGCCTGTAGTCCCAGCTACTCAGGATGCTGAGGCAGGAGAATCGCTTGAACCCGGGAGGTGGAGGTTGCAGTGAGCCGAGATTGCGTCACTGCACTCCAACCTGGGCGACACAGCGAGACTCCATCTCAAAAAAAAAAAAAAAAGAATTCTGAGATTTGTAGTGTTTTTGTGCTATGATTGTTAGGTTTGGTATCAGGGTTATGCTAGTTTTATAAAGTAAGTTATATGAATTTAAAAAATAAAAAAAGGTCTCTTTATTTTTTGAAACAGTTCAAACAGCTCCTGTTGTGGTTTGTAGGATTATTTTATTTACCCCTTTTGTTTTTTAAAAAAGTAGACTTTATTTTTTAGAGCAGTTTTAGGTTCACAGGAAATTTGAGTGGAGGCTACAGAGATTTCCCATATGAATCCCCCCTTCGCTATTATCAGCGTTCCACAACACAGAGGTACATTTGTTGTAATCTACTCTATGTTGACACATCATCACCCAAGGGCCATCGTTCACGTTAGGGTTCACTCTTGGTGTTGTACATTCTATGGATTTTGACAAATTTTGAAATAACACGTATCCACCATCATAGTGTTTTATAGAATAGTTTCACTGCCCTAAAAAATTCCCTGTGCTCTACCTCCTGCCTCCTTCCAGCCCCTGGCAACCACTGATCTTTCTACTATCTCCATAGTTTTGCCTTTTCCAGAATGTTAAATAGTCGGAATCACACATATGTAGCCTTTTCAGATTGGCTTCTTTCACTTAGCAATATGCATTTAAGTTTCCTCCATGTTCTTTCATGGCTTGAGAGTTCATTTCTTTTTAGTGCTAAATGATGTTCCATTGTCTGGTGTACCACAGTTTATTTATCCATTCACCTGCTGAAGGGCATTTCAGTTGCTTCCAAGTTTTGTCAATTATGAATAAAGTTGCTATAAACATGCTATAAGCATGCAGATTTTTGTGTGAACACAAGTTTTCAGCTAATTTGGGTAAATTCCAAGGAGTGTGATTGCTGGTAAACAGTCGGAATCAGTAAACAGCTGGTAGAGTGTGTTTAGTTTTATATGAAAATTCAAAGTGTTTTCCATGATGGTTGTACCATTTGGTTTCTCTTTATTGTTTTAAAGTTAAAATTTCACCTGGATATAACTAGATGATCTGGCCTCTTTAAATAGTTTCTTTAGCGGGGCGTGGTGGCTCACGCCTATAATCACAGCACTTTGGAGGCCAAGTTGGGAGGATTGCTTGAACCCAGGAGTTCAAGACCAGCCTGGACAACATGGCAAAACCCTGTCTCCACAAAAAATTTTTAAAAAATTAGCCGGCATGATGGGATCCGCCTGTAGTCTCAGCTACTTGAGAGGCTGAGGTTGGAGGATCACTTGAGCTCAGGAGGTCGAGGCTGCAGTGAGCCAACTGTGATTGTGCCACTGCACTGTAGCCTGGTTGACAGAATGAGACCCCGTCTCTAAATAGATAGATGGATAGATAGATAGATAGACAGATAGATAGATAGTTTGCTGAGTACTAAGTCACTTTTTGATCTAAAGAGTTAATTCTTCAAGTCAGGAAATTTTCTTTATATTTCTTTAATGATTGTTTCTCCACGGGCTCTATTCTCTATTTCTGGAATGCCTATTATATAGGTATATTTGATTTCTGGATCTTTCTTTTCTTTCTCTCTCTTTTAGCCTCTTTATTTATTTATTTATTTCTGAGTTATAGGGAAAGTTCTCAAAGCAATCTTTCCAGATTTGGTTTTTAATTGGAAAATAAATTTCCTGTTTTTGCATATTTTCCATATTCATATATGGGTTGACTTTTGGAATTCTATTTACAGTATAAATTACAGAATTTTACTGTTTTTGTTTCTTAGATTCTAGTAACCCTAATGATAAAGATATAATAACTTACATCTTTTTTCGTATGTCTAGAAATTATCATATATTTGCTCACTTTATGGAGGGACCTAGATCTACATTTGTTTGGAATTGAGATTTGAAATGGGTATTCTAAAAGATATGTAGATCATTTTCAAACGTGTTGGTTCCAGGCAATGGGAAAAGAAGAAACATGGAATATTTATAGTTTAGTTTTCTAGATTGGGAGATCCAATCGACCATGATTAGGGCAGGAAGAGCTTCTGAGAAGAGGAGAGAAGTTTGCTGTTCTGCTGCGCAACTTCTTCTCACTGTTTGTTGAGGCAGTTCAAGGTCGGCTGGAAGAATGTCCCCCCTTCTCTAACTGGCATGAGCACCTGGGTTAGAAACCTGCTGGCCAATGTCCTTGCTTTTCTGTGCAAACCAAAAGAGGAGCTGAGCCTTGGCCACCTTCTCTGCGAGCAGGCACTCGCAATTCCCAAGGTTGCTCAGTTTTTTTCCCGCTTATCCCCATCTCAGCCTTTTTCCTAGTCCTGGCTGTCTATTACGGGGCTTTAGGGAGACTCTCCTGGGGCGTATCCTCCATTATTTCCCAGGAATGTCCTTCTTTAGTCAATATACTCATCAGCCTGGTTCTATTTGCACTGTATCTTGTTGAAATTCCTTGAAGTTTATGGGCCAGTAATGTGATTTTTTTTACTGATTTCTAGAGTGGAATAGGATTTTTATCTCTTTGTCTGTTTCAATAGGAATTTGGAATAGGGAGGATTTAAATGCACGGGTCCAAATTATGATCTGTAAACAACCATCAGATACTGTAACTTTTGACAGGTCAGAATACAAAACTGATTTATTTACAGTGTCACCACTAGGTGGTGCCACCAATTAGTGAAAACAATGTGGTTGCTATGGCTGGACTTCCAAGAACCACCTGCAGCTACTACAAGCACATATTTGTGAGTTGTCTGGAACTTGTATTCACCTGTGCATATTTGCATGAGCGTGTGCACACACAGTTATTGGTGTATAAGTTTTCCCACAGAGCAATGTTGATTTACAAGCATGTGCATGAGTCTGTGTACCCTGGAAAGTATGGGCACGAAGCTAAATAATATGAGTTTCAAAAAGCTTACCCATCAGCTGTGTGGTCTAGAACTCCCATTCCTTGGCTAGGAAGTCCCAACCCTGAGGAAGAAATACAATGACAAGCTTTTCTGAAGCGGGGGATCCGGAAACACAGCCACAGTGTCCTTAAAGTTATCAGTCTTGCAAACCCTCATGTACAGTATACAGTCAAGCCTCCAAGAAGGTCTCTGTCACTTCTTTTTTTTTTTTTTTTTTTTTGAGACTGGGTCTTGCTGTGTTGCCCAGGCTGGAGCACAATGGTGTGATCTCAGTCCACTGCAGTCTCAACTTCCCAGGCTCAAGCAACCCTCCTGCCTCAGCCTCCTGAATAGCTGGGATTATAGACATGTGCCACCATGCTCAGCTAATCTTTTGTATTTTTTATAGAGGCAGGGTTTCGCCATGTTGCCCAGGCTGGTTTTGAACTCCTGGGCTCAAATGATCCACCCCTCTTAGCCTCCCAAAATGCTGTGATTACAGGCTACTGCACCTGGCTGTGTCACTTCTTAACATTTATGCCTAGTGTTCCATTATTGGAACACTAAGCATGTGGGAGTTATTTTTATCATACTGATCAAGGTCATTGCCAAGGTCTGATTGCAAAAATTCAAAAAATTGCAACCTTAGGCATAAATGGGTTAAGTCATGGAGGACTGTATTCTCAATGGCTGTCCCTCACTGCCCCCAGGAGTGCCCAAAGCATCTAAACAAATGTTCACTTTGGGATCCTACTACCCAGATGGAGAGTGAACCTGCACCTAAGGAAACAGATGTCGTGTGTATGTGTATGTGTGAGGGGGCACTCCCAACCCCTGCGCCCTCCAGGTTTATTCACATCTCCACCTCATCTTCCCGCTGTCTCTGTGGAAGGCCCTGCTGATCTCAGGCTGTCACTCTGGACGGCTCCCTCACTGCAGGGATGGTGCTCTGTTGAGTACCTGCTGTATAGATTAGCGCACGAGGCTGGGAGAACTTAGGCAAGTGTTTCCCTTCTCTGGCTTCAGTTTCTCCATCTGTCAGTGAAGGCTGAGTCTGGGTGATTCCAAGGGGCCGTTTGAGCTGACTGAAGTTCTTCAAGTTCATAGTTGTAAGGTCCTGCCCCGCCGCCAGCGGCTGGTGTGGGGTGGGAGTCTTCCTGGAGAAGTTCTGAGGACGAAAATCCCCTGTTTGCCTTCCTCCTCCTCCTCCTCACAACAGACTTCCCTCCTTAACTTCCCTAGGGAAGGCAGCCGGGCTCCCAGGGCCCCAGGAGTCTGCAGGAGGAGTTCTTACTCCAGCATCATTAAAAGTTCAAGTAGCTCCCCCAAGGGCCAAAGAAGTGCCAGGATTCATTAGACCTGCTGCCCCCTGAGCCCAGTTTGGTTGAAGGGAATGTTTAGCCTTTTCATCTGGTGAGGGTTTTCATTAAGGGTTTGAGGCCTCCCTAAGAGAACTCACCTCAGACTGAGGTCAGAGGGGGAAGGGTCCCTGGAGGTCACCTCTTGCTCCGGGAGTTCTGCAGAGGAGACAGGCTGGATCAGGGCAAGGGGTTTGCCCAACATCACAGGGTGGAGGTGCTGCCAGAACTCAGAGAACCAGCCTTGCGGTGTCTGCAGACATTCCTCCAGGCGGTAGGGAGATGAGCCTGGAGGGAGGGGCTGGGGACTCAGCCTGGAGGGACCCTGCAGAGCCAGACACAGAGCTGGGGCTTTGGGGAGCCCCACTGCATGTGAGGAAGAGCTTGGAGAACAGCCCAGCATGCCCACAGCAGAAAGGGTTGCCCAGAGAGAGAGTGAGCACCTGTTGCTGAGGTCTGTCAGCAGGATGGGACGGTGCCTCCCAGGAGGAACAGAGGGGATTTGGGCCTGGCGGGTGGGCTTGGAGGGACAGTCAGTACTGCTCAGATCCTGCCGCTCTGTAAATGCTCCACTAGGCAGGAATGGCACTCATCACTGCTGGGCAGGGAGGGTGTGACAGAGCAAGGAGCATGCCATTTATGGCCAGTTGAGACTGTTGAACTGGGAACCAGGAGGCTGGGCTGTGCCTGCCCTCTCTGAGCTCAGTGGCCTCCTTCTTGCCTCCCAGCAAGCTTGGGAGGACACCCAGACCCTCCTGCCTCCCAGAACAGGCCGGATGGAGGACCTCCCTGGATGGCAAAATCTGCCTGTGGTGCCTCCCTGAGCTTCTCAAGCTCATTGAGCTCGGGATGGCTCATCTGACAGAGCCTGACTCAGCCCCGGAGGGCTCTGCAGGCTGCAGGACAGGGAATCACAGACTCTCAGATGTCAGTGTCTCCTGAGCCATGGAGTCCATTGCAGTAATATCAGTTGCAAACATGACGGGAGCTGGTGTTGCTGCTTTACGCATCTCAACTCCTTTAGTCCTCGGAACACCCTACTGAGGAAGGAACCGTTATCAGCCATTTTACAGAAGAGGAAACAGGACAGAGAGGTTAAGTAACTTGTGCACAATCTCAGAGCAAGTGAGTGGCGTGGCTCCAAAGCCCGTGTTGTTCATCTCTGTTCTACACAGTCTCTACGAGAGGAGACTGAAGTGCGGAGAGGGAAGGTCACTGAGCCAGGCAGCAGGAGGGTTTCTTTCCTCTAGACTCAGGGCTCCTCCCTCAACCAGATCCAGCCTGACAGCTCCTCTGTCTCCACCTGGCCTCCCTGCCAGGCCTCCTCAGAGTTAACAGCGGCCTGGCCTCACCCTTGGCCAGCAGTTGCAAGTCCAAACAGGCTTCGCCCACATTCCCTGGCTGCTCTCCAGCCCGCAGCAGAGACAACAAAGTTCAGTGACTGAGAGGGCTGAGCGGAGGCTGCTGAAGGGGAGAAAGGAGTGAGGAGCTGCTGGGCAGAGAGGGACTGTCCGGCTCCCAGATGCTGGGCCTCCTGGGGAGCACAGCCCTCGTGGGATGGATCACAGGTGCTGCTGTGGCGGTCCTGCTGCTGCTGCTGCTGCTGGCCACCTGCCTTTTCCACGGACGGCAGGACTGTGACGTGGAGAGGAACCGTACAGCTGCAGGGGGAAACCGAGTCCGCCGGGCCCAGCCTTGGCCCTTCCGGCGGCGGGGCCACCTGGGAATCTTTCACCATCACCGTCATCCTGGCCACGTATCTCATGTGCCGAATGTGGGCCTCCACCACCACCACCACCCCCGCCACACCCCTCACCACCTCCACCACCACCACCACCCCCACCGCCACCATCCCCGCCACGCTCGCTGAGGCTGCTGTCGCCGGTGCCTGTGGACAGCAGCTGCCCCTGCCCTCCCATCTGTTCCCAGGACAAGTGGACCCCATGTTTCCATGTGGAAGGATGCATCTCTGGGGTGAACGAGGGGAACAATAGACTGGGGCTTGCTCCAGCTGCATTTGCATGGCATGCCCCAGTGTACTATGGCAGCAGAGAATGGAGGAACACTGGGTCTGCAGTGCTGAAGGGTTTGGGGAGTGGAGAGCAAGGGTGCTCTTTCGGGGCTGGACAGCCCGTCTTGTGACAGTGACTCCCAGTGAGCCCCAGAAATGACAAGCGTGTCTTGGCAGAGCCAGCACACAAGTGGATGTGAAGTGCCCGTCTTGACCTCCTCATCAGGCTGCTGCAGGCCTCTGGCGGGCAGGGCACTGGGAGAGGCCCTGAGAATGTCCTTTTGGTTTGGAGAAGGCAGTGTGAGGCTGCACAGTCAATTCATCGGTGCCTTAGTCCAAGAAAATAAAAACCACTAAGAAGCTTTTGTGAAGAGGCTCTTGATTGCAGCATAGTGGGAGGGAGGGAGCTGCCTGGCCTGTGTCCTCATTGCCCTGGGACCTCCCTCTCTGATGGGAAGCGTGTGGCTGGAGCAGGCGGCTTCTGTCTGGTTCTTAGGGGCTGGTTGTGGAGTGGGAAGAATTGGGTGGGCTCTGTCTGAGCTCTGAGGGAGGATTCAGGGTTTGCACAAAACCCTGCCCACAGCAGGTCCTGTGTGCACCAGCAGGGCTCTGGCCTTCCGCGGGACAGTCCTCGGGGAGAGGAAGGTTGGAGCCGCTGCGAGCCTGGCTCCCCAGGGCTCTGCCCCTGTACTTTTTTCAGCCCATGTCCAGGGCAGACTGAGCTCTGAAACTCGAGGAAGCCCCATCCACAGGCTGCCTTGAATCCAGTTTCCTTGGTAATTGGATCAGGGTTTCTTCTCCAAGCCTTGCGTTTTCAGCCATCCTGCCCCAGCTGGTGCCTGTGTGTGGTGGGAGGGCTGGGAGGCAGCGAGTGGAGTTCTTTAAAGTGGAGGCTGTGGTGCTGGGGTGCAGGGTGTTGGATGGCCTTGGGAGAATGCTGGGGTCTCACTTTCCTCTTCTCTGCAATGGGGTGGATAACAGAGATGCCCACGTGCCGAAGCCTGGAGGCTCGTTGGAATATGCTCTGTGAACAGCTAGTGGGATCCACAGCGAGGAAGGAAGCCTGGCTCTGAGGCCTTCAGCCTGTGCCTGTGAGCTGAGGTGGGAATTGGGGGAAGACAAGGACTGGGGGCCAGGAGAGGCAGTGGGGAGGGGCTGGAGAGCAGGCCAGAGACTCAGGGACCTGGTGACTCACTGGAATAGAATGTCCTCTTTCCTTTCTATTTCCCAGTGGATTCTCTGTGAGGGCTGCAGGAGGAGGGAGTGAGAGAGAGAGGGAGGCAAATTCACACTGATTTCTCCCACCTGAGGTTTCTGGGTTGGGAAAGTTGACCCTAGGCTGCCGTGCAGTGTCGATTTTCTCTGCAGTGTCCTTCAAATCCACCCCCTTCTCCATTCCCATGCCCTGCCTAGCCCAGCCCCCTCCATCCCCCTCCTGGATTCCTGCCAGCCTGCTCCCTGCAGCCCTGCCCCTTTCCCAGGCATCTCCAGGCTGATTTCACAGATGAATCAAAGATGGGGAGGAGGTTCCCCGAAAGCAGGAAACGGAAAAGGAAGCCTATGCAGGGCAGGAGAGAACCCGCTGAGCAATTGCCCTTTATTCCAGTTCAAAAATGCGGAACCACTCAGACAATCTGCAGGCGGCCTATGGCTGCGTGTACACAGGAAGAATAGGCGATGAGAAATCAAAGGAACAAATGTTAAAGCTTGAGGCATAGTCTCCTGGTGCCCTCTATCACCCCAGTTAAGGAGGTGATGTTGGTAACTCAACCTGAAACCACAGGCCCTGCAGATCAGCCCGTCGTCTCCTTCCTCCTGGTCATCCCAGTTAATACAAACAATCCAAGGAATTGGCTTCCTGTCATGGCCCACAGCCTGCTCCATGTGGAGGAGGAGCCCAGGGCCCAGATGGTCTCATCATCTCAGAAAAGGGACAGATTGAGAATATGACAGGCTATCGTTTGCTCTGAAAAGTTGCTCTCCCATTCTGTGCAAAGTGCCAGTTTCCTAATGCTGATACTAAAGAAAGTTCCCTTGGGCCTTGGAGAAACTGAAAAGGACCCAGGCTATGTGAACTTGGGCCAGCCCTCTGCCCTTTCTGGCACTTTGCACCCAGATCATTAAAACCGCAGAATCAGATGGTCGCTCTGTGGTCCCATGGTAACTGGAAAGTGCACTGAGCTAGGAGTGGAGGGAGGGCGGTCCCTCCTCGGCCATTGCTCGTGCCTGTTAACATGGCTAATTCAGAATGGGGGGCAGGTCATTTAACTTCTATGACCATAGGATCTTTTTCTATAAAATGGAGGCTATATCGCTATGCAGGGTTGCTGGGGAGGTTATATGAGATCATGTCTGGTGAGGTCCCATGCCTGGAGTTATTGTTCTCACTACTCTGTTTCCCAGAATATGGACAAAGTGGGGCTAATAGCCCAGTCTCCTTTCTGGAAGTGGTGGGGGTCTCAGGAGGTGCTGGGTGTGAAAGGGCTCTCACCTGGCAGACTAACTCAGTTGCCTGGGCCTAGCTTATTCCCCTGACCTCCTGGCAGGGAGGAGGGTGGAAAAGGCCTGGGGTGCGCATGGCGGGACGGGATAACTGCTGAGCGGGGGTTGGAGGGCTGCAGTGTGGGTCCTGGGCCCTCGCTCACAATTGGAGGAAAGAATTCAGGAAGTGCTCACAGCTGCTCAGACATCTCGGAGCCAAGTTCCAACCAGGACAGAGGCTGCAGCACCCAGGGAGGAACGCCGTGGTCCCTGGGACGGCCACCAGGCCAGGAGGCTGCAGCACCAGGTACAGCCAGGGCTGGCCTTTGGGGAGCCCAGGGTAAATCTTAATAGTTCAAGAATGTGAGCAACGGGCTAAGCAGGCAGCAAAGAGGGTGGGTGAGGCCGGCATCTAAGAAGGCTCTTCCGGGACCTCCGGGTAAAGAGCCCCACGGTCATGGACAGGGCAGGGATTCCCGGGGAAGCACCTGATACTCTATCTAAACTGCATGATCCCAGCGCCATGCAGAAAAGGACGCCAAATGCAACCTGCCCCTGCCTCCAGCCCCCACTAAAGGCCCTGGCACCTGGGGTGACCCGTGAGTGTCCCCTGCCTTGCCCAGAGCTGGCGCATGCCTTCCTCCCTCCTCATGTCCCTGCCCCCAGCACAGGGCCAGGGGCTGGGGAGGCAGCAGATAGGCCAATTGAAGGACTGGCCCAAGGTCCCTCCTGGGGAGGAGCCGGGCTCCTCCTGCATCCATAGTAGGGGGAGTATTTTGTCTTTGGTCTGGGCGTAACTTGCTCTTGAAATCTGTAGGCGTCACCGGAGGGCCAGCGCTGGCTAGGCTGTCTCTGTGCAACGTCTTCTGACCCCTCCTCTCCACCTTCTCTGTGTCCAGGGAATCTGTGCTCACGTCTTCCAGGACAGTGCTTCTTCTAGAAGCTGACATGGAGCTGACCACAGCTCTTGGAGGCATGGCCTGAGGCTTAGAAAATAGACAGAGATCATCTGAGATTTCAGCAGTGGGGCCACGTGGCAGCGCCCGAAGGCCTGGAGCAGGAGCGACCCAGGGACTCAGAGCAGCATCTTCTTAGGAGACGGAAGGAGAGCCGCCGGAGGAGCACGGGGCACCTGCGATCGCGAAGAGCCTCCTGTTCTGGATGGGAGCGAAGGCTCCGAGAGGACCTAAGGTTGCTCAGTGGGCCATGGAAACGGCAGTGATTGGGGTGGTGGTGGTGCTGTTCGTGGTGACTGTGGCCATCACCTGCGTCCTCTGCTGCTTCAGCTGTGACTCAAGGGCCCAGGATCCTCAGGGGGGTCCTGGCCGCAGCTTCACGGTGGCCACGTTTCGCCAGGAAGCTTCTCTCTTCACGGGGCCTGTTCGCCATGCCCAGCCAGTGCCAAGTGCCCAGGACTTCTGGACCTTCATGTGACGCCCGAGTCCCCAGGATTTGCTGTGCTGATGGGTCAGACTCACCCGCTCCTCAGCAAGCCTTCCCTGGCCTTCCCCTCCTCCCAGGGCCTTCTCCCTGTCCTTCCCCTCCAGTAACCTGTGAACTTCCCGTCTCCTCCCATTCCAGCCTTCTGTGCCCTCCAGCCTCAGGGATCCTTGTTATTGGGACAGCCCAGCTGGGGTTGACCCACAGGATGGGGCTTAGGAGAGCTCTGAGGAGTGAGTGAACAGACAGCGCCGGAGTGCACGGTGGGCCGGCTCTGCTGATCTACACCAGGAACTGAAATATCACTGGAATTTATTGTAAACGGTGTGCCTATGATGCTGGTTCTGTTGCCACCTGGGCACGCAGCACCCTCAAGTGGACATTTCTAGAAACCGCTTCTTACTTGCTCCTAATTGATTACTTTTGCACATTGCACAGAACCCAACCTCGAGGCCTGCTCCCTGCCAGTTGCCTGAAATCAGCCCTGAAATTCTGAAACCAAAGAGCTGCTTCCTGAGAACAAGTTATTTACCTTAGAATTGAAAATGTATATCCTTTTATGGGCCTTTCCAAATCTGATTAGAAAAACCACAAAAGGAAACAGAAGAGAAAATAAGAGCCACAGAAAGTACAATATGTTTTATTAACAGGAAAGCCAGAAATAAGATATTTTAAACATATTTTTAATGAGACTTTATTGCTATATTCCAACAGGTCACTCCTATTCTTAGAGAATGTGAATGACTTGTGTCACTTCGGAGTGACAGAAAAATCAGGAACTGAAAGATAATTCCAGACAAGTTAAAATGTTATGTTACATTCAAAGCTCTTGTTTTCATCACAAATAAGGGGATATTCAGTTTTTATTAACAGAAAACCCATTCTCCCATGGCCATGGAATAAATGCCATGCTATATTTAAGGAGTTTGGTTTGAAGGGTGCAAAATTGTGAGCCTCCTGGCTCTTATGTCTGTATCCAGCCCTGAATAGATGGCTCTCCCAGGACCTGTTTGTTGAGGGGGGCAGGACTGAGCTTTAGGGGGGCTCTGGCCTCTAAGGGTGTCCAGACAGGCTGCCCTTGCCATGTGGCTGCCATGGGAAGGGCTTTCAGAGTGGCTTGGAGCTGGAGAGGTGCACGCGGGGAGGGGGAAGTGGTGGGGAGAGTGAGGCTGACGGAGAGGGATGGGGAGGAGCATGGTGGGCGAGGCTCAGCCCAGGTCCAGGAGCTCCTGGGACCATGTCCTGGACACTCCTGACACCAGCCCTCGACGCAGGGCCTTCAGAGATGCACAGAGAAGGGAACGGCACATGTGGGGAGGCCCTGGAGACGGAGGGAAGAGAACTTTTGAGGGCTGTGTTCTCTAAAAGCGAACAGTGAGACAAAGTTCGGGTGCAAGATATTTGTCAGGGATCAACACCTACAAAGGGGAGAAGGAAGAAGCAGGATTGGGCAGAGGAAGAAGTCAAACCGTGATGCAGGTCCTTCATATCCCCACCTTTGCTCCGTCTCTGAGTCCCTCTCCCCTCTCCCAGGGTCTGACCTCAGCCAGGGCAGCTCTCTGCAGCTGAGGCAGGTCTTGAAGCCCTTCCTATTTTATTATTTTTATTTTATTTTATTTTATTTTATTTTATTTTAGGAGATGGGATCTCACTCTGCCACCTGGGCCAGAGTGCAGTCGTGTGATCATAGGTCACTGCAGCCTCAAATTCCAGGGCTCAGTCAATCCTCCCACCTCCGCCTCCTGAGTGGCTGGGACTATAGGTGCATGCCACCGTGCCTAGCTAATTAAAAAATCCTTTTCTTGTAGAGATGGGATTTCACTATGTTTCCAAACCTGGTCTTGAACTCTCCTGGCCTCAAGTGATCCTCCCACCTTGGCCTCCCAAAATGTTGGGATTACAGGTGTGAGCCATTGCATTTGGCTGAAGTCCTTCCTTTGAAGGGGACCTGGGCAGCACATCTCCACAGAAACTCTGTAGGGTCCTGTTCTTGGAAGAGCCTAGACTGGTCAGAGGTGGGTGAATATGTCCAGACACAAAGAAAAACCTGGGCACAGGAGATCTATGAGAGGAGAGACGGCCGTGCAGGATCTGGAAGGGAGAAGAGTGGGCCTCAGTCTCCCTCTCTCCTCAGCCAGAGTCAGCTCTGCTCCAGCTCAGGCACCCTTCACCAGGAGCCAGGCCCAGGGCTCTGCTCTTGTACTGTGTGGTCACAGCACTCACTAGGTCAGTCCGGGAGGGTCTGCAGGCTGGAATCACAGGGCCGTGAAAACAAAGTGCTGGTGAAGCGGGCATGGGGAGGGAGCCTGGCCTCCCTCTGCAGGAGACAGGCTGTCTGCCAAGCCCGGCACGCTCTTCATTTGTTCACCTGCCCATCTGCCCATCCATCCACCCACCCATCCATCTACTCCTGGAGTAGATGCCGCCTCACTTACCCATGCATTCATTCACTTATTCATTCACTCCTCCGTTCAGTAAACACTGACTGGGCACTGACTGTGTACCCAGCCCGGCCAAGGGAACGTGGGGGTCAACTGGACATTTGGATCCCGTGGACTCCTAGATAAGGCTGTATGTGTGTGGTGTGTTTTATGTGGGTATGATGAGTATGTGGTGTGTGTGTAAGCTGTATATGTGTAGTGAGTGTGTGTGGTGTGTGTTTTTGTATTCTGTGATGTGTGTGTAAGCTGTATGTGTGTAGTGAGTGTGTGTGTTTTTGTTTGCTGTGGTGTGTGTGTAAGCTGTATGTGTGTAGTGAGTGTGTGTGTTTTTGTTTGCTGTGATGTGTGTGTAAGCTGTATGTGTGTAGTGAGTGTGTGTGTTTTTGTTTGCTGTGGTGTGTGTGTAAGCTGTATGTGTGTAGTGAGTGTGTGTGTTTTTGTTTGCTGTGGTGTGTGTGTAAGCTGTATGTGTGTAGTGTGTATTTTTTTATGCTGTGGTGTGTGTGTAAGCTGTATGTGTGTAGTGTGTGTGTTTTTGTATGCTGTAGTGTGTGTGTAAGTTGTATGTGTGTAGTGAGTGTGTGTGTTTTTGTTTGCTGTGGTGTGTGTGTAAGCTGTATGTGTGTAGTGTGTGTGTTTTTGTATGCTGTGGTGTGTGTGTAAGCTGTATGTGTGTAGTGTGTGTGTTTTTGTATGCTGTAGTGTGTGTGTAAGTTGTATGTGTGTAGTGTGTGTGTTTTTGTATGCTGTGGTGTGTGTGTAAGCTGTATGTGTGTAGTGTGTGTGTTTTTGTATGCTGTGGTGTGTGTGTAAGCTGTATGTGTGTAGTGTGTGTGTTTTTGTATGCTGTAGTGTGTGTGTAAGTTGTATGTGTGTAGTGAGTGTGTGTGTTTTTGTTTGCTGTGGTGTGTGTGTAAGTTGTATGTGTGTAGTGAGTGTGTGTTTTTGTATGCTGTAGTGTGTGTGTAAGCTGTATGTGTGTAGTGAGTGTGTGTGTTTTTGTATGCTGTAGTGTGTGTGTAAGCTGTATGTGTGTAGTGAGTGTGTGTGTTTTTGTTTGCTGTGGTGTGTGTGTAAGTTGTATGTGTGTGGTGAGTGTGTGTGTTTTTGTATGCTGTGGTGTGTGTGTAAGTTGTATGTGTGTAGTGTGTGTTTTTGTATTCTGTGATGTGTGTGTAAGCTGTATGTGTGTAGTGAGTGTGTGTGTTTTTGTATGCTGTGGTGTGTGTGTAAGTTGTATGTGTGTAGTGAGTGTGTGTGTTTTTGTATGCTGTAGTGTGTGTTGGCCCCAGGTACCCCTGCCATTCTCCGCAGTGTAGCCTGCTGTATAAGAAGCAGGAGGGGCCCAGCAACAGGGCAGCGGAAGCCTCTTGCTATGACGGTGGCCTCTTCCTATTGTCCCCAAGGGCAGGAGGTGGCTGTGCAGGGACAAGACTGAGGCTGGCGCCAACATGCAGCAAAGCCGGGAGTGCTTATCTGGTGGTAGTGAGGGAAGCGGCTGTGCAAGGTCACCCTGGAATCTGGGGTGGAGCCACACTCAGGCCTCCCAGCTTCCAAACCGAGCATTCTCAATTCTACTTCTCTTGCTGGTTCCATTTACTTGCCTTTTTTTTTTTTGGAGACGGAGTCTTGCTCTGTCGTCCAGGCTAGAGTGCAGTGGCATGATCTTGGCTCACTACAAGCTCTGCCCCTGGGGTTCATGCCATTCTCCTGCCTCAGCTCCACAGGAGCCCGCCACCATGCCCTGCTAATTTTTTTGTATTTTTAGTAGAGACGGGGTTTCACCGTGTTAGCCGGGATGGTCTCCATCTCCTGACCTCGTGATCGCCTGCTTCAGCCTCCCAAAGTGCTGGGATTACAGGCGTGAGCTACCGCGCCCAGCCCATTTACTGGACTTTTATGACACACCAGGCACATTGTGCTTCCTCTGTGTCCTCTCATGAGTGTATACAGCAACTCCATCACCTCCATTTTACAGATGAGGGAACCGAGCCCCCATGCTTTGAGCCACTTTGGGCAAATACCAAATCTGCAGAACAGTGCTAAGTAGTCATTTTCCTCCATAAGTGATATCTGCATCCAGCCAATTCTCAGGGACACAGTTCATATCTTCAGGAGGAAGGGAGCCAGGGGATCTGATTTGCTCCAGGTTCACCTGAGCAAAAGCCTTGCTGGCACCTACCCATCTGCACCTTTTTTTTTTTTTTTTTTTTTTGAGGCAGAGTCTGGATCTGTCGCCCAGGCTGGAATGCAATGGCACGATCTCATCTCACTGCAACGTCCGCCTCCTGGGTTCAAGCAATTCTCATGCCTCAGCCTCCCGAGTAGCTGGGATTAAAGGTGCACACGACCACCCCTGGCTAATTTTTGTAGTTTTTGCAGAGATGGGGTTTCACCACGTTGGCCAGGCTGGTGTCAAACTCCTGGCCTGAAGTGATCCACTGGCCTCGGCCTCCCAAAATGCTGGGATTACAGGTGTGAGCCACCACTCCCGGCCCCATCTGCATCTTTGACTTGAAGAAGAAGCAGGTCTTTGCCCTGTACAGTTTTAATTGACAGTCCAGGAAGCCTCCCTCATAGAGTAAACTTCTGTGGACGGCTGGAATTAAGGGTTAACAGACATCAGTCCTGACCCAGCCTGCTTAAGGCCTTCCTAAGGCTTTGCACCTGCAGAGATACAGGCCGTGCCTCTCTGAGCAATGAGTCTTGCTTCTCCTTCACTTCCTGGGGCTTCTCTCAGCTCCACATGGGGCAAAGAGCAGGGAGAACCCTGCTCAGTTCTGTCTAGCCCGACTGGGACGTGGAAAGGCTAATCCGAGCCCCACTTCTGCCACTCAGTTGCTGGGCCTCAGTTTCCCTGGCTGTACGGAGAAGGTAAGAATCCCATCCCGGCTTGTCTAGAGGACGTGTTAGAGTGAAGATCCTGGGAACCCAGCTGTCAGGAACGGTCAAGGGAAAGAGGCCCGCCCCGCTCTGCCTGCCCTCCTCCCCACCACCTCCAACCCTCGCCCTGCTCTTTCTCCGCATTCCTGGACCTGAAACCAGGGTGGCGTTTCTCGCTGGGACAGGCTGGATTCTGGAATCTAGGAGGCCTTGAAATAACATGTTTTCCGGAAAAGTACCTTCCTTAAAGGAAACTGCTTGTTCCAGGGAGTAGAAAAGGATCATTGTACCTTGCCAGGTCCCCATTCCCCTGAGGACATGACATTTGAAAAGGCAGACTCAGTTGGAGACAGAGACCTGCACCCCCTGCCCTGTGCCTCCATCCAGCATATTCGTAATAGTGAAAAGTTAGAAACCACCTCGACACCAGCAGGAGGGGGCTGGGCTGGCAAATTGCAACACAGCCACAGAATCAAATGCTAGGCAGGTGTTAACGACAATGAGGTAAATTTAAACTCATTAACCTGAAAGGGCATTTATCATGTGTTGGTAAATTAAAAGGGAATTAGAGGACTATAAATGTAGCTGCACCCTTAGACGCATAGAAGACGATGTGGAGAGCTGTATGCCGAGGTGTTGATAGGCCATTGTCTCTGGGTGGGTGGGACTGTTTGTGCATTTTATTTTTTATTTACTTACTTTTTTTTTTTTTTGAGATAGAACTTTGCTCTCTTTGCCCAGGCTGGAGTGCAGTGGCACGATCTCGGCTCACTGCATCCTCTGCCTCCTGGGTTCAAGTGATTCTCCTGCCTCAGCCTCCCAAGTAGCTGGGACTACAGGCAGGCGCTACCACACTTGGCTAATTTTGTATTTTTAGTAGAGACAGGGTTTAACCATGTTGGCCAGGCTGGTCTTGAACTCCTGACCTCAGGTGATCTGCCCACCTCGGCCTCCCAAAGTGCTGAGATTACAGGCGTGAGCCACTGCGCCTTGCCTATTTGTGCATTTTAAATGTTTTCCCTTTGTGTTTATCTGAATTTCTCATAATGAATGATTTGCTCTTGAATAAGAAAGAGCAAGAACCTAACAAAGGAACAAAAGTTATTTTAAAAATTATAAAACAAACCAACTCCAATCTAAGAGATACAAAAACACAGTCAGGCATAGACACAAAAATGGGGGCAGATGAATTTCTCAGAACAGATACAATGATAAGGACACACACACACATACACACAGACACACACCTCTCTTCTGCCTAATTCACATGGCTGAGGTAGGCAAGGCTGGGGAGTTGCAAGCGGTAGGGGTTTGCCAAGTTTCCAGGAACACCGGAGTCTGGGTGTTGGGGTGGCTGCTGGAGCTTCTGGGCAGGTTGGGTGGGCTGAGGAGAGTACAGGGAGCAGCCTGGGGCTCACTAGCCTGAGTGAGAGGCCTGGCTGTACGACACCCAGCCTGCACCTCCTGGGACAGGGTAAGGCTCCTAATCCCAGCTCCCCAGTTCAGGCAAGACTGAGGAGCCTGCCAAAGCAACTCTTCCCCATCCCAGCAGTGGAGGGAGACAGCAGGGTCCACAGCTGGGGAGGAGCTTCCTGGCAACCACCTACGACTTCCAGGCTGAGGCCTTGTCAGCTGCCTACGGACCCCACTTAGGAAGCCAGGGCTGTGGTGGCTCATACAGGGACCCTCTGTCCTTGTCCTCCTGAGATACAGGCACAGCCACAGCCCTGGTGTGGGGCCTGGCCTGAGGCAAGGGGTGGATGCATGTCCTCCATCATCCCCACTGTCACTGTGCTTGCGCAGACCTCACCATGTCATCTCCTTATGGGCCTCCCTGGCCTCACCTCACCCCTGCCCACCCGGCCGCCAGAGAGCTCTTTCTTGGACACAGACCTAACTCCTTAGAGGGCTATTGGGTGGGTCTCTGTTCCCACCTTCAGAGTTCGCTATCTGTGGTAGGCATAATAATCATCCCTCAAAGATGTCCATGTCCTAATCCCTAGAAGCTGAGAAAATGTTATGTTCACCAAGGGGAATTAAGATTGCAGATGAAATCACAGTTGCTAATCGGTAGACCTTAAATAAGATTATCCCAGATTATCTGGGCAGGCCCAATGCAGTAAGAAATGTCCCTTCACTGTGGAGGAGGAGGGCAGAGGAGTCAGGGCAGGTGATGTAAGAAAGACCTGAAGACAGAAGCAGGCCACCAGCCAAGGAGTGTGAGAGTCTCTAGAAACCAGAAAGGAAAAGACAAGGAAAAGCATTCTCCCCAGTTGCCTCCAGATGGGAACATAGCCCTGCCAACATCTTTTTTTTTTTTTTTTTTTGAGACTGAGTCTCGCTCTGTCGCCCGGGCTGGAGTGCAGTGGTGCGATCTCGGCTCACTGCAAGCTCCGCCTCCCAGGTTCACGCCATTCTCCTGCCTCAACCTCCCCGCCCGGCTAGTTTTTTGTATTTTTAGTAGAGATGGGGTTTCACTGTGTTAGCCAGGATAGTCTCGATCTCCTGACCTTGTGATCCGCCCGTCTCAGCCTCCCAAAGTGCTGGGATTACAGGCGTGAGCCACCGCGCCCGGCCTGCCCTGCCAACATTTTGATTTTAGCCTAGTGAGTCCTATTTTGGTCTCTGATCTCCAGAACTATAAGATAATACATTTGTGTTGTTTTAAGCCACTATATTTATGCTAAGTTGTTATAGCAACAAAGTATTCTTAGCTCAACCATTAGTGCTCACAAAGACTTAGCCTTGAATTAGCTCCTCTAGTTAAATCTATTCCTGGCCGCCAAGAGACAGAGAAAGGTGGCCTCTGAGGGGGTCAGGTCTTACAGCTGAAGAAGGCTGTTGGGTCTGGAGTATGGGTGGGCTGACCACTTAGAGATAGGGAAGGGAGTCAGAAATTACATTTCCTAGTAAGTAGGATGAGAGTGATAATGTGACAATTGTCAGGCCCTGCACCAGGTGTTGGGCAATGTGCAAACCCAGTCATCCTTATCCTTACCCTACAGAAACACCCACGCAAGTGTGCAAGCATGTACGTCCAAGGTTGTTCTTACAGTATTGTTTCTATTA